>NC_000014.9:71884440-72035955 GCF_000001405.40 Homo sapiens
TTTTCTAGCTCCCAACAAAGTTCAGACCTATTTTCCCTACTTCAGTTCATTTTAGAACTTTACATGTTTATTATTTTAATTTGGCAGTGGGCTGGGTGTGGAAAAGGGAGAATAGCATGAGTAAGAGGGAGAAGAGTCAAGGGTGGATTTTATAACTTGTACCTCTTTTTGTCTCGGGAAAGTGATCCTGTCTTCTAAGCCAAGACACACTTTGTTCTTCTTAGCCAGGAAAATGAGGTCTATTCCTTTTTAGTGGTAAATCTGTCAACTCTTCACCAATCCTGTTTTCCACCTTTGCATGCCCATTTGTCATGACTAAGAGAATTGATGTCTGGATCCACAGACTTTCTTGAAATCCTAATAGAACTCATTTCCCTGGGGCCAGAACTAGGCACTAGGATGCAGTAAGAGTGGGCCCTGGAGCATACAATTTAAGGAGGCCCTTTCGTTCCCTGTGGTATAAGGGCAGGCACCTGAGCACCTCCTTAAATTTTTTGCCTCCTGAAATTTTGTGCCCTGAATGCCTCATTTGCCTCATGCTAGTCCTGACCTCCACCATCCCCATTTTCTGGAAACTGACAGCACTGCAAATGTAGCAGCTTTCTGTCCAATACTATTGCCATCCCTTAGCATATCCCTCAGCTGGGCTGAGAAGGCCTTCACCCACGCTTCCTTTACCCTCTTGAACCCTGTCCATTCTTCCAACCCACCTACAGAAAGAGACAAGGGTATTTAAATTATAAACAAATTTTCATTTAATCAACACTAAACAAAACAAACAAAACCTAAACATTTCTACTCCGTCGACACTAAAGAAAACAAACAACACTGAAGAAAATAAACGGAAACCAAACATTTCTACTCCATCGACATAGCCAAGTTAAAAACATTTTTTCCTTTCAAAATTTGCCAAGCTAACTCATGGTATAAAGACATGTGACATTAATTTCTAGCATTCCTGAGCTGGGCAGTATTACAGCCCTCTCTGGATTTGAAAAATTAAAAGTATTCTTCACTTCAACTCTTAGGAGAGCCAATTCTCAAAGGGCAGCTTGCTTTGTTTGTGGAGCTGGAGTGGTGGAGAGAGGTCAGAGCATGAAGGGAATGTCTCCGTGGTTCTCCTAGGATGTGATGAGGGCTCACTTGGGAGCTCAGGAATCACATCAAAGAGCCCCAGGAGGATCTGAGGAATAAAGATTGAGGCTGTTGGAGAGTCTAAAACATAAACAAGGGCTGCAAAATTAATAATACAGCGTTCAGTGCATTCTTTGGAACACAGGAAAGTTGGAAGGCTGTTCTTGTGGATACTAGCAATTCTTTCCAATGCTGTCTCTACTTTTAGAGAAGACCCTGTCCTTTGGCCTTCTCTTTCACCCATATAGTGTCTCTCTCTGTTTAATACTAGTGGAAAGCTGTTTAATACTAGTGAGATAAAATTCTTTCTTTCCTTCCTTCCTTCCTTCTTTCCTTCTTTCTTCTTTCCCTCCCTCCCACTCTCCTTCTCTTTTTTCTCTTTCTTTTTCTCCCTCCCTTCCCTCTCCTTCCCTTCCCCTCCATTCCCTTCCCTTTCCTTCTCTCCCTTGCTTCCCTTCCTTTTATTTTATTCAGAAATGCGTGTAATCCCAAATCTGAATAAGGGAAATTGATCATATCATCCCTTGCTTGTCATTAGAAAACAATTAGTTCTCAGAACTTAAATTTTTGGACTGAAGTGATTAAGGTTGAGGCCTGTTGATATGATGACAGTGAATTCAGCCTAAATATTGCCTTTTTGGAACACTCCAGGTAAAGTAGCTTCATCCTTATCACACTTATCACTGTCTGAAACTCTTACTGTTTAAGAGTTGATTGTCTGTCTCTCCCATTAAAAGGTAAGCTCATTGAGAGTAGCATCTTTGTTTTATTCCTGGCAGGATCTTCAATTAACGTCACTGTGCACATTGCACAGTAGGCAATCAATTAATATTGACTGACTGAATGAATGAATATATGAGTGAGTTGTGTTCTAATCATGGATAATCCAAGTAAGCAGTAATACAGTGTTTGAGTTTTTTCGTTTAGTAGTCTTCTGTCTAAGGTGTATTTGGATACATACACCAGGCAGAAGTTAGGCACTGAGGTTAAGGCAGTGGACAAGACCAACATAGCTCCCACCTTTGTAGCAGTTAGAGCCTAGTAGAAAATGAAAGCAATCAGCATGTAATTTTGGTGAACTGCATGTTTGCAAGGTATATCTTTAATTTGGTTGGTTTGTTTTGGAGGCAAATAATTTAGGTATAACTTGAAGGCTGCTAGGTATATCTTGACAAAGTTTTGAAAGAAATCCAGGGCTTATGGAAGGGCATATCAGTTAGAGATTGCTCTTCCTGCATATATTAATACCACCTTTTGCCAGAACATAGTCTCGGGGACACCTCAATGCAAGAGATGCTGAGAACTGTTGGCTCACGCCTGTAATCCCAGTACTTTGGGAGGCCGAGGCGGGTGGATCACGAGGTCAGGAGTTCAAGATCAGCCTGGCCAACATGGTGAAACCCCATCTCTACTAAAAATACAAAAATTAGTCAGGCATGTTGGTGGGCACCTGTAATCCTAGCTACTTGGGAGGCTGAGGTGTTGCGGGAAGTCAGGGACCCCAAACGGAGGGACCAGCTGGAGCTGCAGCAGAGGAACGTAAATTGTGAAGATTTCATGGACGTTTATCAGTTCCCAAGTAATACTTTTATAATTTCTTATGCCTGTCTTTACTTTAATTTCTTAATCCTGTTATCTTTGTAAGCTGAGGATGTACGTCACCTCAGGACCACTGTGATAATTGTGTTAACTGTACAAATTGATTGTAAAATATGTGTATTTGAACAATATGAAGTCAGCGCACCTTGTAAAAGAACAGAATAACAGCGATTTTTAGGGAACAAGGGAAGACAACCATAAGGTCACACTGCCTGCAGGGTCAGGCAAAAAGAGCCATATTTTTCTTCTTGCAGAGAGCCTATAAGTGGACGTGCAAGTAGGAGAGATATCCCTAAATTCTTTTCCTAGCAAGGAATATTAATATTAATACCCTGGGAAAGGAATGCATTCCTGGGGGGAGGTCTATAAATGGCTGCTCTGGGAATGTCTGTTTTATGCAGTTGAGATAAGGACTGAGATACGCCCTGGTCTCCTGCAGTACCTTCAGGCTTACTAGGGTGGGGAAAAACTCCGCCCTGGTAAATTTGTGGTCAGACCAGTTCTCTGCTCTCAAACCCTGTTTTCTGTTGTTTAAGATGTTTGTCAAGACAATGTGTGCACTGCTGAACATAGACCCTTATCAGTGGTTCTGTTTTTGCCCTTTGCCTTGTGATCTTTGTTGGACCCTTATCAGTAGTTCTGTTTTTGCCCTTTGTCCTGTTCCCTCAGAAGCATGTGATCTTTGTTAGACCCTTACTAGTAGTTCTGCTTTTTGCCCTTTGAAACATGTGATCTTTGTACCTACTCACTGTTCTTACACCCCTTCCCCTTTTGAAACCCTTAATAAAAACTTGCTGGTCTGAGACTCAAGCGGGCATCACGGTCCTACCGATATGTGACGTCACCCCCGGCGGCCCAGCTGTAAAATTCCTCTCTTTATACTGTCTCTCTTTATTTCTCAGCTGGCCAACACTTATGGAAAATAGAAAGAACCTACGTTGAAATATTGGGGGTGGGTTCCCCCAATACTGAGGCAGGAGAATCACTTGAAACTGGAAGGTGAAGGTTGCAGTGAGCTGAGATCGCGCCACTGCACTCCAGCCTGGGCAAAAGAGTGAAACTCCATCTCAAAAATAAAACAAAACAAACAAACAAAATACAAAAATTAGCCAGGTGTGGTGGTGGGCACCTGTAATCCCAGCTACAAGGCAGGAGAATTGCTTGAACCCAGGAGGTGGAGGTTGCAGTGAGCCGAGACCCTGTCATTGCATGCCAGCCTGGGCAACACAGCAAAAGCTCTGTCTCAAAAAAAAAAAAAAAGAAGAAGAAGAAGAAAAAGAGAAGGGGGAATTTATCTGCCTTGCTCCCTCCTGCTTCCTATTGATTGAGGCTCATCCCACAGGAAACAAACCTCTTTCCCCTTTCAGGTTGTGTCAGCTGGCCTGCTTGGGTTGGTCACATCTCATGCTCTGAGACTGGGTGTTTTATCTAAGTCCATCAGTGGAAGAAGGGTGGCTTGGCATAGGTAGGATTTCATTCAAGAGAAAAAAAAAAATAGGTGGTCAAGGGAATTTGAGAAAGTACACAGCCTTCTGTCCTCATTACAGGCACATACAGACTATGATGGGAACAAGTAGGTTCAAGAGGACCTACATTGGTCTAAAGAGTCAGCTGAGCTGACTCAATATATCTTCTCCATTTGGGTTGCTGAGGAGCTAAAAAATATATCCTTAGTGTTATTCTTAAGCATTATCACATCATTGAAAACTACAATAAAACACTGAAATGTATTGGATCCCTGAAAAGAGCATGAAGTCAGGAGTTTTTGATGTAGGGTGTCTCTTAACTATAGCATTATTGTCATCTAACACAAGCTGAGGATTGGGCATGGTTCACTGGAGATACCAAAGATGCATGATATTGTCATGGCCTTCCATTGAGAAAGAAAAATCTAAACAAATGAATAATGACACAGTGTGAGTAAGGGCCAAATGATTGGTGGAGAATTCAGAGGCGGGCAGGATCTCTGTGGTCCAGGGGAGAGGAGAACATGTCATGGAGGTAGGCAGATTTGATCTGGGCCTTGAAATAAAGGTGGACTTTGGTGTGTTTGACGTAGGAGGAAGGGCGTTCTGGGTTGGGGGCAAGGCACAGACAGAAATATGATTGCGGGGAAGTACATGGTGACCAACAGCAACCGAGGAAGAAGCAGTGAATATCTGCCTTTGTCTGGAGAAGAAAAGAGTGAGAAATGTAGCTATAAGGATCTTAAATTGTGAATATTCTTAAATACTGAGAAATGGAGTGTGGATTTTTTTCCCTAAATGCAATGGAGAGTCAGCGAAGGGGGATTTTAGGACTCACAGAATGGGAAACTGGAGGGTGGAGAAGGGGAGTTGGAAAAAGTCCTGTTGTGGAAACTCTCCCTTAATAAGGACACTTCACTGAGTGGGTCACACCAACTGCTTCGTCAGAGAGGGGATAATTGAGTTGGGGGAGAGCTTGGGGCACGCACTTTGCAGGGCGTAAGGTACAGAAAGGAAAAGCAAGAGGCTGGTGATAACTTTTCTATGTTGTTGTTTTGCCAAGTGATATGATCTGTGTCCCCACAAAATCTTAGGTTGTATTATAATCCTCAGTGTTGGAGGTGGGGCCTGGTGGGAGGTGACTGGATCTTGGGGGCAGGCGTCTCACGAATGGTTTAACGCCATCCCCTTGGCACTATTCTCATGATGCTGAGTGAGTTCTCCTAAGATCTAGTTGTTTAAAAGTGTGTAGCACCTCCTCTCTCTCTCTCTTTCTTGCTCCTTCTCCTGCCATATATTAGTTGGATGCCATTAAAAGTAATGGCAAAAACTGTGATTACTTGTGCACTAACCTAAGACGGTCTGCTCCTACTTTGCCTTCTGCCATGATTGGAAGCTCTCTGAGGCCCCCCCAGAAGTGGATGCCACCATTCTTTCTGTATAGCCTGCAGAACCGTGAGTCAGTTAAAACTCTTTTCTTTACAGATTGCTCAGTCTCTGGTATTTCTTTACAGCGATGTGTGAACAGACTAACACACCAAGTTTCTGCCTTGAGCAGATCAAAGATTTGGTCAGCCTGACTCATTTTGTGTCATTTTAATGCTACGTGGAAGGTAAAATCAGTGCAGGAGAGGTCCACCTGAAGAATGACAGCCGGTAGGATTAGTCTGATTTTATGGCTCTTAGATAGTTTGCTGTGTGTGTGCGTGTGCATAAGACAGAGAGAGAGAGAGAGAGAGAGAGAGAGAGAGAGAAATCTTGTCTAGAGGCTGAGCTAGCATCTGCCGGTACTTCAGCTCTCCTAACCCCTCATTCTATGGCACCTGTCTTCCTGTTAGGCCAACTGTCAGATGCTTTTGATGAGCATAGACCTTTGTTCCAACCCACTCTTCCAAAGGTTATTTTTCCAGTTTATTCCCTTTCTAACCATTTACCTGCTGCTAATCCTCAGCACAGTTAATTCTAGGGCTGCCTGCAGATTCTGCCATGGATGTTTTATAACTGTTACAATTTATTTTTCAAAATCATTTGGGATGTTTCCTCTGTAGTAACTTACCCTTCTTGAAAGTCTTTAGCTGCTACCCACACATCGCATGAGTCACAACAGAATTTGATTCAGAGCTACTGAAACCTTTAAGAATAAAACTATTATTAGTGAAAAGGATTTAGCTCAGGAGCAACTAAGAAGGACTCCATTCAGCTTGGGATTAAAAACAGCAGAATGCAGTACTTTTAAATAAACATTTTCTTTTTACATCTCAAACTGACACTTTTTGAGGAAACATTTTAGTACTCAGTGGGACTTCTGGGAAAATGAAATGTGAGAAAACAGATTCTAGAGTGAAGGGGTGATTTAGTTCAGTTCTCTGTGATGTCTGGGGGACAGGGGTATTTCTCTAGATCTGTAAAGAAAAGGCTCCACAGTTATTAAGACTGTTTGCCAGAACCTGCCAACAGTTTCCCAGTCTAATTTTTTTAAAGCTTGCTTAATGCAGTTCATAGAATATTGTAGTTTGTAAAATTCTCACCCAGATCTCCTGTAGGTCAATGAATTGGTCCTTGTTCTGGTTAGCATTGATATAACACAATTACCCCAGGGCCAGGAATTTGGGAAGGGCTCGACTGGGTGGTTCTCACTGGGTGCCTCTCCCTTAGTTGCCGTCAGGTGTCTGCGGGAGCTACGGTCATCTGAAGGTCCCCCTGGACTGCAGAAACAAGGTGGCTCCTCCCATGGCTGGCAGTTGATGCTGGCTGTTGGCGAGGAGCTCAGCTGGGACTATTGACAAGGGCACCTACACTTGGCCTCTCCAGCAGGGTGGTCTTAGCCACGGTGGTCCAGCAGGTGGTATCCTGATTTCTTACATGGCAACTGGCTTCTCTGAGAACAAACATCCTAACAAAACTAAATGGAAGCTAAAAGCTTCAGAAGTCACATGGATGGTGTTGGTTGAAGCAATCACAGGCCCACCCACCCTCAAGGGGAGGAGGGAGAGACCCCACATTTGATGGGAGAAGCATCAGATGATTTGCAGCTATTAAAACAACAAAACCCAAACCGCTACAGTCCTATACAGTCAGCCTTAAGATCTCTCTGAGCACTCTCTAGGGATTCTTACAAAGTGCATGTTTAACTCTGTTAGTATCTGGATATCCACTTAGCAGACTGTCTTCTCTGGCTTCTTCCCAGCACCTCCTTGTATTTTTCCCCCTTTTCTTTCTATCTGCTTGGACAAATCACCTTAGGTGTCTCTTCCCTATTTTTAAGCACTTCCTAGCAGATTTAGCTCTAATCAGTTAACAGAGTCCTAATTTGCATGTAGAATGTCTGTCATGAAATGTTATTTTTATATTTCTTACAAAGTAGAGATTTTAATATAATAGCTCATTCTCTGAAATAGCTTTCACATGACTTCATTACACATGAATCTCATTATAATACATACCATTTCAGTGAAGAGTCTCTGTGTTTTTCACCTTAATGGCACCTAATTGCCCTTCTCTTTCAAACAATACAATGAAATTCCTTCACAACAAAACACTACAGGCAGTTTTTTGGAAGCAACTGTCATGGGTTGGATCCACTTTAGAAGAGGAAATCTACTGGGAGGTGGCTCACCGCCTGAGAAATTGTATTTTGTCTAACATTTTCAAGCAATTAGCCACCAGTAGGTAGGCCTCCCAAAAACAGATCCTTCCTTGTTTTAAAAATTGGATAATTGCCCATAATCTTCAGCAAGATGGATACGGCCTTCCTACAAACACCTTAGGTTTTCCTTTCCAGGCTTCACAGGTCAGCCTCAACAGGATGCTCATATGAGCTGCTTAATAATGAATGAACTGAGACTGGCAGAATGGATGGCACCACCTCCTAATACTTGAGTAAGGATGCAAGAGTTGTTTTGTCTCCTATGAGGCAGTTGTGCAGATCAAGAGCACAGGTCACAGTATAACCTTGGTGAGCATTTCACACCGAGCTCTTCCAAGGATGTGGGCTTTGATTTACAAACTACTTAAACTGTTATCCTGAGCAAAAAGAAATGGTAAATGGAGAAGGAATACCATGCCACTGAGACTACAGTGGGGTTATTTAATAAATGATGAATCGTTTCTTAAAATTAAATGCAGTTTATTTAGTATAATGGATTATTAGGTAATTACAAATGTAATGTGGTTTCTATAAAGTACAATGGCATTTTACGGCTTTTCATGGTGACTTTATGTTAATGTTTTACATGTAGTTTTGCCTTACAGGAATAGTGTAACGAGATAATAATCATGTGCTCTATATGTAGATGAAGAGATGGCCCAAGCCAGCTTCATGGGACGGCAGCGATCTGCCTAAGGGCATTTATCTGTTTTAGTCTCTGTAATTTACTTTTAAAACGTTCACATTTTACAATATAGACATTGTAAAATCTTTATTAGTTGGTTTTTATCTGTACTTTAGAGGCAGTTAGTTAATATTTATGTACTCTAATCAGGAATTATACACTAAAGGGATGGCTAGGTAGCATTTGAAAGTTCTAAACAAGGTCTGTACTCCAGAGGCAAGTACAACTAGAGGGACTTCAGGATTCCCCATCTCTGACTTGCATTAGAGGGTTTGATCAAGAATTTTGTCACTGATGAAATGAGGGTCTTTAAATGTGTGGATTTGCTTAAAATATTGTTTGAGTATTCTCACCTTTACATAAACAGGATATAAGGATTCTGCAGGGCCATTACCTTCTCTCTAGGATTTTGATCTCAAACTTACCCTGTGCTCAGATGCTGATTGGAGGATTTTTGTGACCCTGCTTTGGCTTGGTAGCTGAATCCTGACTCTAGAATATTACCACATTTGCTTTGTCATCAAAAGACCACCATGCTAAATAGTAGAAAGGAGAGTTTTATTGGTGATATCAGTTTGCAACCTGGGAGGAGATATTATCTGGCATGGGCTGAAGGTACCCTCTTCTCAAGGAGGGAAGGGACAGATTGGGTTTCATGCCTCACAGAGTTTGTATTACACAGTAGGATTTTGGGGAAGAGCTGTACATATTTATAAGGGGAGCCAAGCACATGTGCATTGGATAAATACATATGTACCATACATCACACGTTCATTTTGGGGTGGTGTTTTAGCTTTAAAATGAGGGGGAATTTGGCCCTTTAAGTCAAAAAGTGAACTATAGGACACAAAGACAATTTGTGCGCAGTTGGCTGAAATTGGCTTAAGGCACACAGTTGTTTATCAGAAAAGAAGGTGTGTAAGGCTGATCCTCTGTCCAGTCAGAGTTGTGATCTGAGTAGTAAATCAGACTTAGGAGGGGTCTGAAAGCTCCTTTTGCTAGGGAGTTTAATAAAAGTGTGTTTTTTCTTACTGCCATAAGAATTTAGAAATTTTTCATGTGAGCCAGGTCCTGGACCTTTGACCCATAGGTAATTTTGTTTCTTTAATTTTAGGATTCATCTTAGTTGATATAGAGGCATCTGTTTTGTCCCTCCGATTGTCAGAGGCGTTCAAACCAGAGCGACTCCATTTTGAGTGAGGGCTAGGAAAATGAGGCTGAGACTTGCTGGGCTGCCTTCTCAGAAAGTCAGGCATTCCTCGCCTCTCGATGTTTACGATTAAAGGAACAAATTAATAGTGGTTACTAAACTGACCCAGACTTGGGAGCATCCAGATATCCCAATATCTGGAGAACAAAGACATTCCTAATTTTGCTTTAAAGATAGTAATATCAATTCTTGCAAAGTATAGTAATTAAGAAAAGTAATTCTTTATCACAAACCCTTGTAGCAGAGCACATGTCCCCATATATACAAGGATTGCACCGAGGGTGGATGCGTGCCTCCTCTTACTTTCGGGAACACCCTACTCTGTCTATGGAGCAGCTGTCCTTTCACCACTTTACTTTCTTAATAAACTTGCCTTTGCTTTGCACTAAGGACTCGCCCTGAATTCTTTCTTGCGTGAGAACCAAGAACTTTCTCTTGGGGTTTGCTTTGGATCCCCTTTCCTGTGACAAGATCACAGTTTTGAGTGAACTTTTCAGGAAAGATACTATCCCAGTACCTAAAAGGACAGAAAACTAGGACTTCATTGAGTTTACAGAATAGAATATATGACTGTTTTTGTGTCTGTATTGTTAAAGTAACTTCTCAGGTAGATTAATTGCAAGCATATATCAAAGGTATTTTCCTTTTTTTATTTTTTTTTGAGATGGAACTTCACTCTTGTTGCCCAGGCTGGAGTGCAATGGTGTGATCTCAGCTGGGATTACAGGCACGAGCCACCACGCCCAGCTAATTTTGTATTTTTAGTAGAGACAGGGTTTCTCCATGTTGGTCAGGCTGGTCTTGAACTCCCGACCTCAGGTGATCTGCCTGCCTAGGCCTCCCAAAGTGCTGGGATTACAGGCGTGAGCCACTGCACCCAGCCCAAAGGTACTTTTCAAATTTGCTGCCAGGGAGGAGGCTTATGGGCAAACTAACTTAGATATTTCTTAATACAGATTTTTTAGGGGAAAAAAAGGTAGTTAGATAATCACTATTAGACTGTTTTTTGTTTGTTTGTTTTGAGATGGAGTCTCACTCTGTCACCCAAACAGGAATGCAGTGGCGTGATCTTGGTTCACTACAACCTCTGATCCCTGGGTTCAAGTGATTCTCCTGCCTCAGCCTCCTGGGTAGCTGGGATTATAGGCGCCCATCACCACACCCAGCTAATTTTTTTTTTATTTTTAGTAGAGACAGGGTTTCACCATGTTGGCCAGACTGGTCTCAAACTCCTGACCTCAAGTGATCTGCCCGCCTCAGACTCCCAAAGTGCTGGGATTACAGGCATGAGCCACCACAACCAGCCTCGACTGTATATTTTTTAAGAGAATGTCTAGGTAAAGATCATTAGATATCCTGGGAGACTGGTCAAAGGTTGTTAAGCAACTCCCAGTGTTGATGATCAGCTGCTTGATGTGTTAATCAGGATCCTGGTAGGGAGCAGATGGCTCAGTCTTAATGGGCAATGAGAAGACAGTTGAATAAAGGGACTGCTTGTTATGCTGTGTGCAGAGTATGGGGATACTAACCAGGTGTAGTGCAGTCCTTAGGGCTAGCAACAGTGGGAGCCATTAGTATTCCTTGGCCTGAAGGGCAAGAGAAGGGAGCTGGTGCTAGAACCCAAAGAACAGGGCTCCATGGCAGGCGCTCCCTGCCAGGAGCTGAGTCTTGCAGTAGAGGGCTCTCACCAACCCATGGCATTTCTGCTCAGAGAGAGCGAGGAGATGCATACCCAACCTCACTCTCCTCCTACTCTTTGATTTCCAGTCTCCTGCTGGTGCTTCTAATCTGGCCAAACCCAACAGAAGCTGGAAGGCCAGGGAGCCCAGGGGTGCAGTCCGTGCAGGCCAGCTTCCAGGTCCCAGTGGGGTGGAGAAGGGTGGGGAGTGGAGATGGAGGGGCAAATAGAAGATCCAGCACTGTAAATTTTCTAGAAAGTGTTACAGGAAAGGGGTCCAGATGCAGACCCCAAGAGAGCGTTCTTGGATCTCAAGCAAGAAATAATTCAGGTCAACTCCACAGAGTAAAGTGAAGGCAAGTTTATCAGGAAAGTAAAGGAATAAAAGAATGGCTACTCCATAGACAGAGCAGCCCCGAGGGCTGCTGGTTGCCCATTTTTATGGTTATTTCTTGATTATATGCTAAATAAGGGGTGGATTATTCATGCCTCCCCCTTTTAAGACCATAAAGGGTAACTTCCTGATGTTGCCATGGCATTTGTAATCTGTCATGGCGCTGGTGGGAGTGTAGCAGTGAGGATGACCCGAAGTCACTCTCGTCACCATCTTGGTTTTGGTGGGTTTCGGCCAGCTTCTTTACCACAGGCTGTTTTATCAGCAAGGTCTTTATGACTTGTATCTTGTGCCAACCTTCTATCTCATCCGGTGACTTAGAATGCCTTAGCTGTCTGGGAATGCAGCCCAGTAGGTCTCAGCCTCATTTTACCCAGCCCCTATTCAAGATGGAGTTGCTCTGACAAATGCCTCTGACAAAAGGACTCTTGAACTCATTGAAGTCTACCAGAAAGTAGCTTATGCAATTCATCAGGAATGGTAATACTGAGAGGTTACTCTCCAAAGGAGCAGCTAATCAAATCAGACCACAAAATTCCACTGATTAGGGATAACTTTCTTTCTCAGTATGTGTAGCGGAAATTGGTCTGACCTTGCTATTTTATGAGTTACCATTGGGTAGGAGGCTTATTGCTTCATCTACCTGTAAGTAGTGGCAGCTATCAGAAAGAGGCTATCTTCTTGATTCCTCACACCTGTGTAGGGTTAGATTGGCTTAGGTAAGCTTGCTACCATCTCTCTACTCAGCACCTGTTCTTCTCCCTTGTTGCACTTACTGCCATTCATAATTGCATATTTATTAGTTTGTAGGTTGGCTTATTGTCTCCCTGTCACTCTACCTAGGGGGTATAATCCACAAAGTCCAAGAGATATGTCTCTACACTGCCTAGCATAGTGCTAGGCACATAGTAGGTGGTAGATAATTGTTTATTGAATCAATGAATAAATATTCTGGCTATCTGCCAGCAAGGCAGCATTGGTGAAGTGGGGAGAGTATGGGTTCCAGAATAAGGAGAAATTAGATTTAAATCTTGGCTCTAGCAAAGACATGTGGCCTTAGCAAATTGCTTAATCTCTCCAAGCTTTGATTTCCTCCTCTGTAGTATTGGGATTATATTTACTTCCCTACTTATTAAAGTTTAAATCAGATATGCTGCCAAGTGCTGTGGAGGGCTAGGAACATGAAGACAGTTGGGAGATAGAGTGACACCTGCTGCTGGTCTCATGGTCTCATTACCCATTGTTAGATTTATTTTTTATTTTATTTTATTTTATTTATTTATTTTGAGATGGAGTCTTGCTCTGTCACCCAGGCTGGAGTGCAGTGGCACGACCTCAGCTCACCACAACCTCCACCTCCTGGGTTCAAGTGATTTTCCTGCCTTAGCCTCCTGAGTAGCTGGGATTACAGGCGCCCACCACCACGCCCAGCTAATTTTTATATTTTTAGTAGCGATGGGGTTTCACCATCTTAGCCAAGATGGTCTCGATCTCTTGACCTCATGATCCACCTGCCTCAGCCTCCCAAAGTGCTGGGATTACAGGCGTGAGCCACCGCGCCCGGCCCCATGGATTTTGTAAAAGAATGTTTACAGCAAGGGAGGACTCCTTTCAAATGTTCAATGCTCACTTAAACATTTTTTTTTTTTCTTGAAGGAACACCCAGGAGCTTAGAGTACAATATAAAGGCTTTATCCTTTGAGGCTTTATTTTTTATTTTAATTTTCACTGGACAAGCCTGTTTTTCTTTTTTATTTCCTTTTTTTTTTTGGTTGTTTGTTTTGGGTACAAAGTGATTTTTGCTATATGTATACATTGTGAAAATGATAAAATCAAGCTAATTAACATGTCAGTCACCTCACATACTTTTATTGTGGTGAGAACATTTAAGATCTACTCTCAGCAATTTTCAAGCATACAATATATTGTTATTAACTACAGTCACCATGCTTTACAGTAAATCTCCAGAACTTACTCATTCAGTCTAACTGAAATTTAATGCCGTTTGACTAACCTCTCCCTATCCCTGACTTCTCCTCCAACCCTCCCCTCACCCCAACCACCATCTTACTCTTTTTGAGGGTTTACTGAAATTACTTTTAATTGTTTGTTGGTCCTGGTGTTTAGTGAAATCTGGTAGAAATATATACAGCCTAGTTGAAGCCTTTAGCATCTGTAGGACAGGAAGTCCAATGGAATTATCATGTGGCTATGTACAATAGAGATGTTCCTAAAATATGTAGGTACACTTTTTTTTATTATTTTGCTTTAAGTTCTGGGATACATGTGCAGAACGTGCAGGTTTGTTACATAGGTATACATGTGCTATGGTGGTTTGCTGCACCCATCAACCCATCATCCAGGTTTTAAGCCCCGCATGCGTTAGGTATTTGGCCTAATGCTCTCCCTCCTTTTCCTCCCACCCCCCCGACAGGCCCCGGTGTGTGATGTTCCCTTCCCTGTGTCCCTGGGTTCTCATTGTTCAACTCCCACTTAGTGAGAACATGCAGTATTTGGTTTTCTGTTCCTGTGTTAGTTTGCTGAGGATGATGGTTTCCAGCTTCACCCATGTCCCCGCAAGGGACATGAACTCAATTCTTTTTTGTGGCTGCATAGTAACCCATGGTGTATATGTGCCACATTTTCTTTATTGTAGGTACACTTTTATAAGTTAGAATATATTTAAAATGCATTCAAAGCATTAATGCTGTGATGAACTCTCTCCTAAAGCTAAGAATAACTCCAATATTGTTTTTTAAATCCAGTTTTCTAAGTGATGCTGGTGTGGGAAAAACCAATAGGCTGGTGATATCCTATAGGCTGGCTTTCCAAATAGTAATCAAAAAAGCGCATCTTCCCCTTCCCCTGATTTTTTTAAAAGTGATCTTTAAAAATATTTAAAAACCACACAGGTTGACTATAGAAAAAATAAGAAATACAGGTAAGCAAAATCAACACCAAAATATAAAACCCACCCATAATTCCACTGTTCAAGAACTAGCTTGTATTTGCCGCTTGCTGTGTAGCCTTTGCCACGAAAATTCTTCATTAGAGCTACTTTCTCTTCCCTGTATTATTAGCAGGGTTCCACCAATTTCAGCAAATATTTCTGTAAACTGAATCTCTTTTGCAAATTTCCCCCACTTTCCTACTTCAGCAAAACATTGTTGAGGACATGTGGTTGTCTCCCCAGTATTGACTTTACCTCTACCACAATGAGTAACAAGTATGTTGTTTAGGTACGGTACACTCAACCCCTCAGTTTTAGGGATAGGTCCTGTGTGGCATAAACAAATCCAGGTAATTTCATTTTGCCTTGCTGAAGTGATTGGTTCAAGTAACCCAGGCCTAAACCAATCAATATGTGCTATTCCTTTAGCCACAAGAATTGATTCACAGGTGATCTAATCAGCTGGTAACTTGAGACTTACTAAGAATTCTGGAATACAAGATTTTCTCTTCTGGATGTAGAATGTAGAATCTGGAACTTCTATAGTTATTTAGCCCCGCTATTACCAAACTCCAGTCTTTAACTCTCATTGGTCACCTTACAGTTTTGCCCATTCTGCTAATCAGCCTATCTAGTGAGATTTTAAGTTTAACAGTTGTATTTATGTCCAAAAATCTGTGACTGATTCTTTTCCTGTTCTTGTTTTACAACCATCTGTTCTTGTTTTAAGGATGCAGTCTCCTCTCTTATATCTCAGAGGACATTAACTCAACTTAAATCACTTTTCTGGTGTCCTGTTAACTATTTCTTCAGGCATATGACTCCTCTGTAGCGGAGTTTATGACCTTTCTTTTGAGGACATCTTTACGGTTGATATTCCTTGCTAGATTGTTTGCTGCCTCTGCTTACACATTCCATTTGGGAAAAGGAGAGAAGCATCTTTGAAGTTTGTCCCTACTCTGCTTTAAAAGAGAGTCAGATATGGGCAGAATGTACAGTTCAGTAGGGTACCTCACTGGCTGCTCTTCTAGGCTTCAGGGTTTCCTAGTTTTCTGGCTACCTCAGGCTCCTGGCTGCTACCACTTCTGAATGTGGAGCACATTTTGTATAATTACCGCTTTTTTATCAGTTATATTTGGCCATGAGCTACTTGCACATGTCTTGAGATGCCATTTTCCTGTTCTATCTGACCTACTGGCTTTTGGTCTCCCAGATTCCTCTCATTTTCGGGTCCGTGAAATCAATTCATCTTGTTTTTGTATGTGGCCATATATTCATTTAAAAATATTCTTCTGTAATTTTACTACTTCAGAGCAGGGAATGACTGTCATTCCCTGTGTACTTATTCTGTTATCTTGAAACTAAAACTATGACTACTCTTGGTGTATTTGTCTATGTTAGAAAACTGAAAGTTTAATGAGGGCAAAGACTATATCTTACGAATCTTTGGTTCCTTCACTTCCTCCATAACAAGGATAGCACACAGAACTGTGCCTTATTAGATGCTGTGTTAGGCTGTTTTTTTATTGCTATAAAGGAATACCTGAGACTGGGTAATTTAAATAGAAAAGAGGTTTAGTTTGTTCATGGTTCTACAGGCTGTACAGGAAGTATGGTGCTGGCATCTGCTTCTGGTGAGGGCCTCAGGAAGCTTACAGTCATGGCAGAAGGCAAAGGGTGAGCCGACCTGTCATATGGTGTGAGCAGGAGCAAGCAAGAGAGGAAAGGAGAGATCCTAGACTCTTAACAACCAGATCATGTGTGAACTAACTGAGCAAGAACTCACTTATCACCAAGGGGATAGTGCTAAGCCATTCATGAGGGATCCGCCCCCATGATCCAATCACCTTCCACCAGGCTCCACCTCCAACAATGGGAATCACATTTCAACATGAGACTTGGAGAGGATGAACATCCAAATCATATCAAATGCATAATATATCTTTCTCAAAGTGAGTAAAACTGAAGAAAGTTATTTGAGCCGATTCTATGGTCCATAGGTTTCTAAACTGATGAGTTTCCCAAATAAATTCAGGGATTAACTATCTATATCAAGAATATGAACTTTAGAGTCAGACTTCCTTGAATTCAAGTCTTGGTTCTACCACAAACCAGTTGTGTGAATATTGGCAATTACTTGGTTTCTCTTAGCTTCAGTTTTCATTCCTATAACATAAGCATTTTATACAATGCTGGTACATGGCAGGTATATAATAAATGTCTAACACAATTATTCATGTTGTTATTTTCCAATGTGTCTTATAGTTAATTTGATCAATAAATCCTTGCCCACATGTCAGTGGACATGGCTACCTATTGGTCTTTCTTCTTCCCAATTAATATATTGACTAACTAATTAACTAAGCTTTTTTAGAGACAATATACTCAGTTCAGATGCCAAATGAATGGCTCCCCGTTGACATCCCAGGCCAGTCATAAGGTGAGAGTTATTTGACTCCTTCAAAGCTGTTTCCTTTGGTCAATCCCTGTTCCCACTCCCATCTCCCTGTTTTTGGGTTGGTCTTGACCACAGAGACTGTTTATTTCTTATATGATAGCCATGTCTCCTTGCTAATAGAAATCTAATTTTGTATACTTGTTGGTCATTGGGTGCTTTAGAGGATTACATCTTGATTAATTCCAATTTCCATGCCAATGATTGGTTTAGAAACAGGTGTATGATAAAATTCTGGCCAATAAAATGTGAAGAAAACCTTTTGCAGGACTTCTGAAAAATAAAACTTCTTTTATCAGGCAAATAAGGATGGAATATTCTGTCTTCTAGCCTTTGTAAAGATGTGATGCTTGAGGTTGCAGCCATCTTTCTACAATAATGTGTCAAGCCTGAGATTAAGAGTCAACATTCTGAGGAGAAAAAACCTGGAGAAAGAACCTGGTTTTTGATGACTTTGTTGATCAACTGAAAACCAACCTGCTTCAGAACTCTTGATCTATGGCAGATTAAATCCCTTTATTGTTTAAGTCATTTACAGTTGAGTTTTCTGTTACTTGCATTTAAAAAAATATAAGCGATTCAGCTATGAGACATGATAATCTGGGAAAACATGAGTTGCCCCACTCACTTTGTACACAAAAAAATTAACAAAGATTATTTTGGTAACTCACTATTTCCATAGTCACTTGAATGATGTCAAATCTCATTAGGCTTAAAGAAAAAGCAAAACCTTTTTTGAGCCTCGGGTACCATGGGTAGCAAGCCTTGTAAAGCCTTTGGTACATCAAAGGGGCCTTTGAGTGTCTCTTGGGACATTTTATATTTCATCAGTACAGGTTTAAAAAGTCTGAATGCTCACATATAATAGTTTTCTTTTAAAGTCTGTTTCTCAGAGAGGTGTCTGTTTGGAAACGTAAGATTCATAGAGAAAAAATTTCCTTTCTTAGAGACAGTCAAGAGGAAAACTCCGAGAACTACAACTTTTGGCAAAATGGATATAGTTAGAGAAATAGAAAGAAGAATAGAAGTTGCTTCTGGGCCATGTTATAACAAAATAAATAAAAACATAAACTTATTTGAAAGATTGTGTGGTATTTATTTAGAGGCATATCGATCCTTCACCGAGACTAAATGAGGAAGAGATGAATTGAAATCTTAATGAAACATAAAAATGGGCATTGGCAACATTGCCTGCAACCATCGTAGATGAACAAATAATGGAGCCAGTCTGTTTACATTATTGGAATGAGCACAGGGCAGGTGATGTGTCCGGTTTCTAAACCTGGGATCAAATCTTTACTCTTTAGTTTTTGTTGGATGGTTTCCTGACTCATTGGATAAACCAGGTACATATCCAAGCCCCTTTGTTTCTATCTACAGAAGAGATAATGACATTGGCTTAGGTATGGCAGGGTTAAGCCCAACATTGTGTTGAAAAGAACTCCAGGAACCTGGGATTTAGGAAGAGTTGGTCCTGTCTGTGGGGAGTAAAGGCAGTGCTCCCTTTAAAACTACAGAGGAGAATGCCTTTTGAAGGAAGCATGTGTAATTCTTATCCTCCTTTCTATGTGGCAGCCATCTGTCTAGTTACATGACCTCTTTTCCTAACCGGTTGAGGTCCTTGAGAACAAGGCTCTTCCCTTATGAATCTCATCTCCCTCTTCCTGGCACAGTACTCTGCACATGGTAAGTGTTTGATAAATCCTACTTGGCTAACTATTGAGGTCAGCCTGTTCTTCAACCCACATTTTGAAAGGTTGGGTTCCTTATTAGTGAGGCTCTGGATAAAGGTCATGGGAATTAACAGATTTTACTGCTAGTGTCTCATATCCAGTTTGCTGGGTTCAGAAAGAAGGTGGGTTTCCCACTTGAATGAGGGTGGTTCTTGAGAGAGAGGTCCTGGGGTTAGTCAGACAGTCATACCTTGAGGTAACGAGCCTGAATGGGACTGAGTGGGACGAAGAGACAGAGTAGAGGGTGGGAGGCCTGGAGCTGGAGCAACAAATTCGAGGAGGAATAGAGTTCACATGCATGCTTCTCTTGGGAGCCTTATTACCATTAGCATGATGGTATGACTTCTAAATATAGTGAGACTGTCATTGCCAATGCATATATCATATACTAAATCTTAAAATAAAGCTTTCATTTGTCCTTAGAAAAATTAGGTAAGAAAAGGAAATAGAAATTCTACTGTTGTCTCCAAGTACCTTCTTTTGGACATCCCACTTTGGAGACTACCTGTTTACACATGAATAAACGAGATAAACACAGTCTCTGCCCTCTTGGGGGTTATAATCCACTGGGGAATACGAACAACAAAACAGGACATTTCAATAATATCATATCTATATGTAAATATAGAACCCCATGCTTATTAAAACAAGTGAATACTAACTGATAGAAACATTTTTGTATAATTAAATGCACAAGAAGAATAATTGTCAGCCATCGTAGTGGACAATTGTGGCTTCTGCTATCCAGCGTCTATTTCCTCTTTTTCTGGGAAGAGCATCCTGATTTTTTTCTCAGGAAAACATCTCCCCTTCCCCACTGTGCTTTGAATAAATGGAGTTTGGTTTTCCCTTTGCCTCCTCCCTCCCCCAAAATCTAAGGGTGGGAAGAAGATACAGATCTCAGCAAAACTGTATTTTCACCCCTGACACAGGGATTGATTTAGAAGTGGTCCTGAGACCCAAGTTACTCCAATTAGAGGTAGCCCTGGCTTTTTTCTTCCCCCTAGAATAATCAGGAAAGGGGAGTTCTCTTTTCTACAGACTTGGAATCAAATAGGAAAAAGTGGAACTTCAGAAAGATACCTTCCCCACAAGGGGAGAGCCTGTGGAAAAAGAACTAATACAGAGGAAATATAACACTTAAGAAGCAAAGATAGATTGAGTTTAAATGATGTTGTTTGGGCCTCTGAGTTCCATGGAGACCAGCTCTACTGCTATACTTTCCATTTCCATGGGCCAAGAGATTCTTGATAATTTTTGCATAAGTCAGAGTTGGGTTTTCTCTCACTTTGCAACCAAAATTTGGTGCCTCATTTACTACTTTGCAGTTATTTCTGATGACTGCTAAGCTTACCTTGGTCTTGTCTAATGTTTGCATGGAACTCAACCTTCTAATAACCCGAATATTTCTTGAATTTATACTTTTCCTGATATTTGGCTTTTCCTGATATTTGGCTTTTACCCCTGGGCTTTTAACAACGATAGTGCATACTGGACTCCATTATCTTTTTTTTTTCTACTGTGATTTAACTTTCCTAGCATAGTTTTTCCTCAGGCAACTTTGAAATCACATGAAATGCTCATAGAAAGTGCCGATTCCTGGGCCACATACCACAAGGGTCTGACAGTCTGCATTTTAATAACACTCTTAGCTGGTTCTGTTATGCACGAAAATTTGAAAATCAGAGTCCTAGCACTAGATCCTCATCTGGGATTGCTTTCTGCTGTTCCTCAAGAGACCTGAAGTCACTCTCTGCCCTTGATCAGTTTCTTTTTCCATCCATGGACAGCAGATGAATGAGAAACAATAAAGAGAGCTACACGGACTTCTCATTGGTCACGTGACCCTTAGCTTTCCCATTCATTCACTTAGCTGGAAAAAATTTCCCAGATGAACGACCTTAAACCTCAGCTCTTTGCCCTTTGAAAATCTGAACTTAAATTTTCCAAGTAAGTGCATTGCATGTTGTTTTGTCTTTTTTTGCAGCTATAGTTTTTGAAAGGGACATAGAATTACTAAAAGCCCAATTCAGAAACTGAAAATGTATACTTAAACAGAACATTGCAAGATATTTAAACATTTTCCTTCTTCTCTCTGTTTCTTTTCTCTTTTTTTTTGAGACAGAGTCTCACTCTGTCACTCAGGCTGGAGTGCAGTGGCGCAATCTGGGCTCACTGCAACCTCCACCTCCTGGGTTCAAGCAATTCTGTGCCTCAGCCTCCTGAGTAGCTGGGATTACAGGCACATGCCACGCTGACCGGATAATTTTTGTATTTTTAGTAGAGACAGGGTTTCACCATGTTGCCCAGGCTGGTCTCGAACTCCTGAGCTCAGGGAGTCTGCCTGCCTTGGCCTCCCAAAGTGCTAGGATACAGGCATGAGCTACTGTGTCTGGCCTCTGTTTCTGTGAAAGGCAGGAGAGGCTTGAAGCTGCCTACCCCTTTCTGTAAGATGAGCCCATTTATCTTGTAGGCTTGTGTGGCAGCACCACATCTGGGTCTTTAAACAAAGATATCAAAGGATTTCCTCAAATTTGACAGGCTTGTTGATAATTGTGATACACGAGGCCGAAGGAAAAGTTATGGGATAGGCACAGAAGCCAACTTTGAGCTATAAGACTTTCCCATGACCTGTGCCCCCAAAATAGTAGCTCCCTGCTGGCAACCATCTGAAGTCTCGATCTGACCCTGCCGCAAAACATTTGGCATGTGGAAGCTGGCCCAGCTGTCACAGAGCAAGGAGATAAATACATTTCCCAGTGTTTATAGATCTCTGCGTATCCTCGCAGTAATTGCTGTTTTAAAACACCCGATAAAATTCAGGAATGTGCCAATAATAACTCTCTCAACACAGGCTGGGCTGGATTTCCAAAGCACCAGCTGCTGAATGCTGTCCCTCTAGAAAAGGTGGGCAGGGTGCTGTCTGCACAGTTGGGGGCTCTGTTCACCTCCTGGCTCCAGATCCACCTTACCCCAAACCAAAGGACTGGTCTGATCTACTTTAGGTCAGGGGAACGGGGCAGACTGGGTGAGGAAGTGTCACAGCTCACCCTCTCTCTTAGCTTTCCTTAACCAACCTCCCTTTGCCTAGGAGGGCCCGTTGCTGGTCTCACTCTGCCCTTCCTCTTCCTCAGACTGATTCTTAAAGCTTCACACAAAAACCTTTGAGTCTCTTCCCTTGACACCATTCATTCTCCCCTTGCCCTTCCTTCCCTAAATCTCCTCCATGATACAGGAGAGTGCCCAAGACTTCATCTGGACTGAAATGTTAAAATATATGTCATTTAACTTAATGAGGAAGGGTATATACAAGGTCTTCCATTTGAGTCAAGAAATTGAGAAGCAATATGGAGTTAATTTAGGCACTCGTGTCTCCAAAGATCAGGCAGAGGTCAGATCAGTTTATGCTGAAAAGCATAATACTAATGTATTCCCCACATTTCAGGGAGATTCAGGGAAAAACTCTCCCAATTTATTATATACAGGTATTTCCCACCAAAATGACTAAGGCAAGAACAGTAAGGGATGGGAAACAAGGACATTCACGGGGCCTAGACTGAGGTAGAGAAAATGCTGTACTTAGATGTGGAAATATTTTCCTTTCTCTTGGGAAGGACCTCTGTAAGAAAAGGGAGGCTTGGGTTCACACCAAACCAGGAGATTAATTCTATTTTCTTCAACAAATATTGAACATCCCATATGTGCCAGACATGGTATTGGATGTGGAGGATACAATGATGATGAAGCAGATGTGGTTCCTGCCCTCATGAGGCTACGGTCCAGAGGGGTAATTCTATTAATCAGTTAATCATTAAATAAATCTGCAATTGCAGCAGAGATAAGTGCTGCAAAGGAGAGGCTTTTGGGCTAGGAGAGCCAATATGGGAGAGAATTTGACTTTGTCTGCAGGGTCAGGATTGCTTTCCTGAAAAAGTGATTACTGGATTGAGATCTGAATGATGAGTAAGAATTAGGTAGATAAAAGAGGGGAAGACGGAACATGAGCTGAGGCCCTGTGGGGCTGGGGCGTAGAAGGAAGAAGTCACTGGTGTAAGGACCATGGGTTGGAGTAGGAAGAACCAAGGGGAGAGGGGCAAGGCTGTAGAAAGTGGAGAGGCAGGGCTGGAGAGGGTCTCGGGCACAGGTCAGGGAGGTCCTTGCTTGTAGACCATGTTAAGGATTTTAGTCTTTATCATAAAAGAAATGGGGAGCCATTGATCAGTGGTGGTGGGGGGATATGTTCAGATTTATGTGGGGAGATTGTTCTTAGTTACAGTATGAGGGCCGGGGTGGGAAAGGCAGATTCAAGGTGGGAAGAGCAGGCAGGAGGGTTTTGCAGTGGCCCATGCAAGAAATGATGGCAGCTTGGGACAAGTTGGTGGCAGTGATGGGAGGAGATTTAAGAGGTGAAATCAACAGGGATTGATGTTTGTGTTCGCCTTATCACCTGGAAGCTTCCTCTAGTGTATATCTGACAGGAGCCTAAAGGTAGCATACCCATTGGTGCACAGGAGAGCAGATCAAAGCTAAATCACATTTATCTGAACAAATAGCACGGGTACTGGATCCTAAGGAACATTTTCCATCTCTTCTGAATCTTCAGGATGAGCAGGCACTGAAAATGAAGCACAAGTGAAGGAAGCAGGCACCCAGGTTATTTTTAGCAAACTATAGGAAATAGCCGACATTCTAATTTGAATCCTTCTCATTAAAACCCAGAGCCGATCCTCACACAGTTCTTGCTTCTAATGTCTGCAAACTTCTCTTTTTCCAGATAATTGACAATAGGCTCCCATGGAAGTCTTCTGTGCATTTCTGCAAAAATTTAGGAAACATTAGGTTTGACACCATCATCATGTTTGCCAAGGCAGCAAAAATCCCAGCCGGCAAAGCTTCAAGTGTGATGAAGCGGAACAGCAAGGACAGCACGGAATGACTGATCATTTCAGAATGCCGTCTAGCGAGAGTTTCCAATGTGGGAGTTTTCCATTGTTTTGAAGCAGGAGAAATAGGGACCGGCTGCTTTGGAAGAAACATGCTGTAGGTAGGATTTCCTCTTCTTTCTTTTCTACCTGACTTTCTGCTCTCAAGTGGTTCTTTGAAGATAAAATTATTTTGTAATACTTTCATTTAATAACAACAAAACTTTTTTATATTCAGTAAGTTGAAAGTGTATAGAACAGTCAGTGTCTGATTTATTACTATTACTGATGTTCAGGGCACAATGAGGCCACAGGAGGGGTAGTGTCAATTCTATTGGAGAATCAGGCAAAGCTTCCTAGGGATGTACCCTTGGAGCTGAGTCTTGACTTATACGCAAGGATTAGTTGGGTAAATGGGCAGCATAGGAGGGAATGCCCTTCTAGGGAGAATAAACATGTTAGAGGAACCCCTGCCTACCACGCCTCTGGCTTAATAAAACATGACCTGAATGATTCCATCTTGAAGTGAGTAGCGAGGCACTCACAAGGCACTTATAAGGTTAATATTTATGGTCTGAAAATAACCACATTCTAAGCTGACCATCAATTATAATTACAGAATATTTATGGCCATACAGAACATCTCCCACCAAGTCTGCAGAATGTCCAGATGTCCTAAGAATACAGCTCACTTTACTTAAGTAAAGTGTTAATGAGTGTTAACGAGTTAATTACTGTTAATGAGTGGGCTTAGGTTGAAGGATTAATGGTCATCTATAACACCAATAGCCTCTACCTTTAAAGAGCACATCTGCATGTTCCAAGTCTAAATCTAGCCCCTTACAGTTTCTAGTAAGTAGAGTCACTAAGAAAGGATGGCGTGTTCCTCCTTCTGTTTTCTGAGGACGCCCTACTCTGTAATAGAGTAGTTTCCAATAAACTCAATTCTTTTACTGTGCTCTGTGACTTGCCTTGAATTCTTTTCTGCATGAGATCCAAGAACCTGCTCTTGGGGTCTGTATCGGGACCCTCTCTTCGGGCAACAGAGTTATGAAAGTATTTGCTATGTTCAGAAAACTGGATGCAATTTAGTAGAGGTGTAATATACAGTTTGCTCTATGTGTGTATGTGTGAGAGACAGACAGAGACAGAAACACATACACCTGCACAGAGAGAGAGAGAGAGAGAGAAATAAGGACAGAGGGTGTGGGGAGAGAAAAAGAGGGAGAGACAGAGAGGGAGAGAGAGAGAGAAATAAGGACATAGAGAGAGGGAAAGAGAGAGACAGAGGAGAGAAAGGAGAGAGAGGGGGGAAAGAGAGAGAGAGATTAAGATGGGACTCCAGTCTCTATTCAAGAAGGAGCTATTGAAGACTTTTAAGCAAAGGAGTGCTGTGTTCAGAGCTGCACTCCGAAAGCTCACTCAGGCACTGGGGAGAGGATAATTGGGTTGGGAGGGGATCCCAAACTACAGGCAAGGGAGACCGGTTAAAACACTTTTATAATGGTGAAGAAAACCAGAATATGTCACCCCAAAATGAGCCTCTTTGACATAAGTGTATTTGAGCTAAAGGCAATTAAAAAACAGCAAGCAGACCAGGTGCGGTGGCTCATGCCTGTAATGCTCCCACTTTGGGAGGCCGAGGTGGGCAGATTGCCTGAGCTCAGGAGTTTGAGACCAGCCTGGGCAACATGATGAAACACTATCTCTACTAAAATACAAAAATAATTAGCCAGGTGTGGTGGCACGCGCCTGGAATCCCAGCTACTTGGGAGGCTGAGGCAGGACAATTGCTTGAACCCAGGAGGCAGAGTTTGCAGTGAGCCAAGATTGTGCCGCTGCACTCCAGCCTAGGCAACAGAGCGAGACTCTGTCTTAAAACAAAAACAAAAACAAAACAAAACAAAACAAAACAAAAAAACAGCAAGCAGAGAAGAGCTCTCTCTGTGCTTCCCCTTTGCTTCCCAAAGACAGAATATAAATTCTCCTTTACTGGAGACAGCTCCAGGAAAGAAATCTACAAACGAGCCTTGCTCTGTTAGTTAATTTTCATCTGTTTACCTTCCCATAGTTTCCTACCTTTGAAAGCCTAAGACTGCTTCTCTTTGTCCTGTCATTTCTCTACAGATTTATTGTTTTTTGTTTAAGGTACTACATAAGCCAGTGTTCTAAGTCACTGCTTTGAGTCACCTTTCATTGAAGTTTCTCTGGCATTGCTGTGCATTACACACATTAATAAACTTGCTTATTTTTTGTTTCAGGGGTCTGCCCCTACTACGAACTTATGAGGGTTGAGGAGAAATTACGTTTTTCCCCCAGCAAGTGTTCAAATGAGAAATGGTGAGGACAGCAGCATTGGGTAAAGAGAGAGGGGCAGATTTGAGAGGTATCAAGAAGGAGGTGACTTCGTGGGTGGTGAGGAATGAGAGAGTGTGGGATGTTTAGGAAGATGCCCAAATTTCCAGCTTGGGTGATGGGGTAATGGTGCTATTCTCAGAGTGGAAACTCAAGAGGAAGGATGCAATTTGGGAAAACATGAGATCCCTTTGGAACTAAATTCCTTGAGGTCTGCGTGGACAGTGACAGGGTGTGGATCAATGACACCTGAGTTTTTTTCCCAGCTCTGTTGGTATGATTTTATTTGACTTCCCTCTCTGAGTCTTGTCCTTTTTTCCATAAGGTATATTATTGCCTTTCTTGGCTTGATTTCTGATCTCATAGAGATCTGTGAAAGTGCTTTGTAAATGTCCTCACAAATGTAAATATTTATGTTTACAGGGAAGTGAAGGTGTAAAAAGCAAAGTCAACAGTACATTTAACTTATTAATAGGCAGAGTATGTGCCTTATTTGCATTGTGACAGCATCAGGTGGAGATCTCGCTGCAAAATGGCCAATATCACTGCCTGTCTTCTGACCACAATGGCTTAATTCCTACGGGACTAGAGGGTAACAGTTTGCTACTCAACACCTCGATTCAAGAACCATCACACTTCTTTATTTTTTCTAAACCTTATTAAATTACTTCTTCATTCCCATTTGCCAGGATGGGCAAGACATCCATTTTTAGTCAAAATTGGGATTCCCACTGGGTCACACAAGTATTCTGTTTTTCATAGGGAAAATGAGCAGGGTTTGAAATACGGAGAAATATGTCAGAAATATTACACAGGCACCTCATCCTTGCGTGAACAGGGTAGACTAATTATCCTACCGTAGGCTTAGGCAAATCCTAACACCAGTGAATTCAGATGCAGGTCTTTGAGATTAATTGCCATTAGAACTGAGGGAAAGGTGAGCCTGGGGTACTGATTAATCTGTGCTAGTGTTTAACATCCACTCAGCAGCATTACCATCCAGACCAAAGACTCTACTTGTCAACTGAAGAATCATGAGGTTCATAAATTTGGAGTGAAGAGCTTTATTTCTTATAAAGGAATGCAGCCTGCTGGCTGGCCATCCCACAGGCTGGGAAGCATGGCCTCTGGTGGAAACCGAAAGCAGGCACTGGAGGAAGAGAAGGGTGAGACAGGAATTAATGCTGAACAGGTCGGCTAAGCATATATATTCAACAGATTATAGGAGGAGCTATGAATATTCATGAAGGGGGCATGCATGTGTAGAAGGCAACCATGCATGTTGCTTACGTCCCATATTCACTTTGGGGTGGAGACTTAACATCTAAACGCATTAAAATTAGGTTCTATCCATCAAAAGATGAAATGGAAGACACAAAGCATCCCGTAAGCAGCCTCTGTAAACCTGCCAGAACCAGTCCATGACCAGTGGTCTCTTATGTTAGTCTCTTATTAGAAAGAAATGCTGGTAGGTGTTATGTCAAAGTGGCAACGAGAGAAGGAAGTCTGGCAAGACTTTCAAAAGGGCTGGTTTTTGCTGAACTCTGAGGAAAGAGTCTAATCGTGATTAGCAAGGGCGAAGTATATAATGGGGCATATCCAATGTCCTGTCCTGTCCTGGCTGGGAACTCAATTTTTAAGGTTTGTCAGGGGTCCTTTTGACCAAGAGGGGGCCTGTTCAATTGGTTGGGCTTAGGATTTTATTTTTATTTCTCACACTAAAGGATCTATTTTTGGTGACCATCGTGTTCACAATTTGCTGTAGAATCTTATTACTTACAAATGAAGAGTGTTATAGTGTCACTAGGGTGGGGAGAGTCAAGATGGAAGGAAAACCCCAAAACTGAAGAAGGAGGAAGGGAGCTGGGGAGGATGGCTGATGGCTGAGTATATATGATGGAGCTCAGGTCTACTGAAAAGTATTGCTGAAACAACTACAACCGGGAAATTTCCCAAATGACCCAGATAGACCACCTGGTACCAGTTGACCAACACTCTCACCCCTTTCTCAGCCTTGTGGTCCCACCACTCCAACTGGACAGAGGACCAGTCTTCTAAACATTCTTTCCTGATAAATAGCTGCAGATCCCAAGCCACTTTGGGTCAGCTTATAGAGACTGCACACAAACTGTCTCTGGTTCTACAGTTCACTTTTTTATTTTTTTTTTATTTTTTGAGACTGGAGTCTTGCTCTGTCACCCAGGCTGGAGTGCAGAGGCATGATCTCGGCTCACTGCAAGCTCTGACTCCCGGGTTCATGCCATTCTCCTGCCTCAGCCTCCCGGGTAGCTGGGACTACAGGTGCCCACCACCACACCCGGCTAATTTTTTGTATGTTTTTAGTAGAGAGGGGGTTTCACTGTGTTAGCCAGGATGGTTTCGATACCCTGACCTCATGATCCACCTGTCTCGGCCTCCCAAAGTGCTGGGATTACAGGCGTGAGCCACCGCGCCTGGCCTACAGTTCACTTTTTTACATAAAGAGCCAGATTTCACTTCATTTTAATGCTAAAACCCCACCCTGAAGTGAACATTGAATGTATGTTACATATACATTTACCCACTACATATGCATCTGACTTCCCTCATGAACATCCATAGATATCCCCTAAACTTGCTCAATATGTGTAAGGCTGGCCCTGCAAGGCATATGTACTAGCTTCTCCCTCCCTTCTGCAGAGTCTGTACTTTCCATCTTCCCTGGAAGCTGCACTCCCCAGTCTGCGGATTGTTTCTCCTTCTGAAAATAAAGTTTTCTCCTTTCCTTCCTCTGTGGCTCTCACGGTCTTAGGTTAACAGAGGAAAGTGGGCTGGGGATTTGGCTAAGGGAACTGGCTCTCATGTCCAGTAGTCATTCGCCTCCCACATCCTCCTGCCTGGCAGAGCCAGCTCCATGAGAGAGGCTGGAAAGGCCATGTACTTGCTTGAAGAGAGGATGGACATGCAACCCACTCTGTTCTGGCCGATGAGACTTACGAAGGAAGTGAGCTGAGGAACTTGGAACAATTTTTTATTGCTGACAAAAGGAGACACATGCAAGAAGAAACTCCACACCTCTCTTCCTGCTCTTTGGTCATCTGAGGATCACAGATTTGGAGTCTAATTGGATACAGAGCCTAGAAGCACTTTCCTCCCTGCTTCTTGTTAAGCAAGACAAATAAATATCCTTATTGTTTAAAAGGCTTTTAGTCATGTATTCTGCAATTTGCAGCCAAAAGCTTCCTAATTGGTAATTAAAGTGGATTATCTAATTTACCTGCTAGAACTTAACTGTTAGAACTCATGGTCATCAAAATCCAGTGGAACTGTTAGGAAGCTTTCTGCTGCAAGGAATTCAAGATCCTGACTCCAACTGGCCCAGTACAGGGAAGTTTATTACGTGATCACAGGAAGCACAGTGTTAGGGCAGGCTTTGGGCATTACATGTGCCGTGCGCCCTGGCTTTGCTTCTCTGAGACTCTCCTGGTCCTCTCTCCCTGGAGGTGGGTTTTGTCCTTGGGCCAGCTGACTGCTAAGTTGTAGGCATCATACCCTAACAAGACGATGTCCAGTGGAAGAAGAGGCATTTTCTATTCCTGTATTTCTTTAGAGAAGTGAGGAAAACTTTTTTGGCCATGGTTCATTTCTTGTTTGCTCCTGAAAAATCAATCTCTGGCAGTGGAAATGAGGTTGCTTTGGTTGTCCTGGGCTACATTTGGAGTAGAATAAATTTGGGGAACCTACACCAATGACCAACTCCAAGTTTCACTTTTCTTATCTTTCCTTTTCCTAGAGATTTTTCATGGACCCTGGTGAGCTTGTTTTCTACCCAGAATCTCTTTAAGAACTAACGGATCTTAATTCTTTCTCATCTCCAGCTTGCCTTTAAGTCTTAACTCATTCGGGTCCCTCCTTGCTGATGAGTATTTCATTTACCAGTAATTCATGATTTACCAGTCGGTTTCCTGTAAAAGAATCAGGCCCCTTTTATTTTGGGTACGGAGTTTCACTCTTGTTGCCCAGGCTGGCAACATTCCTCCCCCGACCCCCAATGTACAAGTAGTGTTTTTTAAAAAAACACTGTGGTACCAACTTCTTTACGGGACAAAAATATAGACATGCACACTATTGTTTTTGTACCTAAAAATGCTTTACTTCTATTTGTTCTTCTGCTTGAGCTTATTTTTGTGCTCACAAAGAAAACAGGCACCACTCCCTTAAGAGTAGATATCTGTAGATTTTTAAATTGATACAGAGTGACATAAGAAATGAATGTGATGAACAGATGTGACGTTCATCTGGAGAAGACTTCAAGATTCAACTCGGGGTGGTGGCTCACACTTGTAATCCCAGCACTTTGGGAGGCCGAGGCAGACAGATCACTTGAGGTCAGGAGTTTGAGACAAGCCTGGCCAACATGGTGAAACCCCGTGTCTAGTAAACATAACAAAAAAAAAAAAAATTAGCCGGGCATGGTGGCGTGTGCCTGTAGTCCCAGCTACTCAGGAGGCTGAGGCAGGAGAATCGCTTGAACCGGGAGGCAGAGGTTGCAGTGAGGCGAGATCGTGCCGCTGCACTCCAACCTGGGCGACAGAGTGAGACTCCTTGTCAAAAAAAAAAAAGAAAAAGTTCAACTTGGAGGAGAGTAAGTAGAGAACAGAAAGTTGTCTGTCAGGTAAACCTTTCCCCATTTGATGGGAGCCCCACCCTTTCCATTATCCCCCACAGCTCCTTCACCTGTCTTCCTGTGTAGCAGACGAATTTTGTGTCTTGTTTCTGCTGCTTGTAGTCAGAGAGATGCCTGTGAGTTCCCTGGGTGGATTTCGAGGCTGCAATAGCAATTCTGGCCATTGTTGTATGACTACCCAGCATCCCATTCATCCCTCCCTCCATCCCAGCAGGACCCAGTAGGGCCTAGTGTCCACTCCACTTTGTATAGCCTATGTCAGTTATGGGAGACTCTCCTCCCACCCCTAGCTTCAGGATAGGATTGTTTAAGTCAATCAGCATGTTCATTTGTGCTGAAGTGATTGGTTCAGTGTAGGTTTGTGTTATGGGCTGAATTTTGGGTCTCCCGTGCTCCCTGCAAATTCATAAATTGAAGCTTGAACCCCTAGTACCTCAGAATGTGACTGTGTTTGGAGAGAGGGCCTTTAAAGAGGGAATTAAGTTAGAATGACGTTGTTAGGATGGGCCTTAATCCACTTTGACTGGTGTCCTTATAAGCAGAGGAAATGTGGACACAGAGAAACACCAGGGATGCTCACACGCAGAGGACAGACCACGGGAAGGCACAGCAAGAATGTGGCCGTCTGCAAGCCAAGGAGAGAAGCCTCAAGAGAAACCAACCTGCCCTTGATCTTGGACCTCCACCCTCCAGAACTGTAAGAAATAAGTGTTATTTAAACCACACAGTCTGTTGTATTTTCTCATGGCAGTCCTAGCAGACTAGCCCAGCATGTGACCAAAATGGTCTAATCAGGATTCTTTTAGCTGCTGTAGCAGACATGTCCCCTCTGCTTTTGTGGTTTGTAGATGTGGAGCTGGGTGCTGCTTATGACTTGGAAGGCAAAATAGATTGAAAACAAAACAAAAAAGTAGATGGAAAGAGCTGAATCAAACTGGGCCTGGACCTGGCTGGACCTTCCAGCTACTCGGGCCACGAAATCTCTTTAATGTTGATTAAGTTTTCACTAGCAGCAATCTAAAGGCCCCCACTGATGAAATGGCTTATGCTTTGTGTTTACAGGCTGAGGAAGAAGATGCCCTCAAGAAATTTTGGTAAATAGGTCTCTGTGCTTTATAAATCCAGGTTCTTCAAGGGAAATACGTTTTTTTGACCAAGAAAGGGAGGGAAATGAATCCTCTGTGCTTTGAGGATTGAAAAGAAAATTAGCCTGATTTCAAGCATGAATTTGCAGTGTGGATCTGCAGGCCTGGGAGACTATAATGCTTTAGGAATTCTCCAGACGCCGAGCCCGACCCCATTCAGAGATGGCACCACTGAGGCATGAGGTCTCTGAGAGGATCAGGCAATTAGGGCAAGCACCCCCGGGGTAAACTTGGCAGGGTGGCCCATGAAGGTACCTGGTGGCTTAGTGAGGAGCTGGTCCGTGTCGGGGTCAGCATTGTAGGGCAAAGGGTAAAGGACCAGTGGGGTTTGTTAAAATGCAGATTCCCAGAACACATGCCAAAGTCACTGCATCAGGATCCCTGGATGCATGGCCTGGGATATGAATTTCAAGGAGCTGCCCAGCTGATTCCTAGGTGAGGACCATATGAAAACCTTAGAGTGTACACAGGGTTAAATTAAGGAAATAGAATTCCCTAGCCAGGCAAGAGAATGGCTGAAAATAGGTGGTGAGCAAGCCAGGGTCAGGGATCCATGAGATTCAGAAACAGGATGCCACAGGTCATCACTTTGGGACTGCACTCATGGGTCAGGCTGCTTTAAGATCCTGGGTCATGGATTTTAAAATAGTCTATAGAGTTAATTACCACATGCTTCTGGTATTAGGACCACCTTTAGTATTGGCAATGATCTTAGATACTTCTTTTAACTCACTGGACTGTCCTGCCAGCTGTGATAGTATGGAGATGTGGGGTGACGGTATATGGGTCACCATATCAGAGCTCCCCAGACCTATGTTGGGATCGCATGGTACACATGACAGACCTCATCACAGAGGCTGCCTGGTGGAGGTCACACACCCTTTTCTGCTGCTGCTGCTGTTAAAAGTATACATAAAGCAGTTGGGTAGGGAAAAGGTTTTTACCACAACTATTTACAAATAAAGCCTAAGTAATCAGAGCACGAATTAATCAGACTTCTCTGATGTCAAGCAACAGGAGGTTTGGGGAGATGGGAAGCACCTGGTTTGTCTACCCGCGACCTTGGGAGCTCTCAGGGTTGGTAGAAGTCACAGCTTAGGCTGCAGCCCTGCGTGTGGCCCACCTGCTCCCTCTGTCATCATGTCAGTCTTGACTGCTTTTTAGCTGAAAAAAACAACACAAGTCAAACAATAGCAAAAACTTTGAAAAGTCTCATTAGGAAGAACACAGGGCTGGAACTGGGAGATGTGAGTTCTGTTCCAGGGGTCATCTTTCGGTAGTGTGTCCCTGATCATTTAATGATTCTCCCTGGGCCTATTTTCTTATCTGTAAAATAAGTAGCAGAGACTAACTGCAAATGTTACCAGCTAGGACTTCTTAGCGGTGGGGTTTTCCTGTCAATTTAAGCTTCTCGGCCGGGCGCGGTGGCTCACGCCTGTAATCCCACCGCTTTGGGAGGCCGAGACGGGCGCATCACGAGGTCAGGAGATCGAGACCATCCTGGCTAACACGGCGAAACCCCGTCTCTACTGAAAATACAAAAAAATAAAAAATTAGCCGGGCGTGGTGGCGGGCGCCTGTAGTCCCAGCTACTCGGGAGGCTGAGGCAGGAGAATGGCGTGAACCCGGGGGGCGGAGCTTGCAGTGAGCCGAGATCGTGCCACTGCACTCCAGCCTGCTGGGTGACAGAGCAAGACTCCAGTCTCAAAAAAAAAAAAAAAAAAAAAAAAAAAAAAAAAAAAAAGCTTCTCAAGTATAAGGCCAACTTGGAGGAACTCTCGAACTGTATGTTTTTAAAATGGTGGTTCTTAGATTTTTCAGCTTGAGTTTATCTCATTTAAAAAACACTTCTCATAGTTAACCATCATAGTGAAATTAAAGGCTGCATTCACCATTTACAGGCTTGGTTTCACTTGCTACATTAAATCAGTTGCTAAAGCCTGATTCTGTGAAAAGATTATCCAGTGGATTCCTTCTCTTAATTTTGTTTAGTTTTAGAGACCCCTCAAAGAGAATGAAAATGCGTAGTTTATTGGGATTGAAATTTTACTACTGAAATTGTTTACTTCATTAATTGAGAGGAAAGAGATGCAAACAGAGATGTAGTTTACAGCAAAATAACTTTGTGTTTCCATTTGAGTTGATACAGTAGTTTAACAAAGCTCTCCTACTTTCTCAGCATAAATATTTATATGTGTATATTTTCTTAAATCTTGATCTTTTTCCATTACGTGAAATAGTCTTCATCCCTGGTATGCAAGTCTGTTAAACAATCTATCGTCCTGAAGTTTAACCCCCTAACAATTTCCTTTGGGATTAGTTTTCAATCTTCATTTTAGTCAATTGTTCTATTTTTTACGGATAATATTATTTTACTGCCTTCTAAGATATACATTAAAAAGAAAAGCAAATATATATGGTAAGCAGGGTGTTGAGTTACAATGATAAAGTTCTGTTTGAAACACACCTGATAGTACAAACTCTTCTTTATGGTTAGAGAAAATTTTTCCTTTTTTTTTTCCCAAGAAAGTGATGCTCCCAACAAAACCATATATGATCTACCCCAGTGCTTGGGTAAACAGAAAAGAGAAAAGAGCTTTCTTCCTTTGTGCTCATGTGCCCACAGGGGCTCCGGAAACTCCAAATAAGGAGTCAATTTTGTCATCCACAGCTCCCAGCTTCCCCACGGCTTCTGGTAAGGACTCAGCCTCAGAGGGGGAGAAGAGCAGAGGCTGGTTCTCCCTTTGGCTTGTGCATAGTTTTCCACAGTAAGTGCCCGTGGGGGTGAGGGCAGGTCCCCCTACTCTTATTCTTTACAACAGCCTTCCTCTAACTCTAGGGTGTCTGAGGATGACCTTAGTTACCCATAAAGCTAGTTAGAGCACTGATATTTAGCTCCCAGTGACGGCATTTCTGACTTAGCACATCTCCTCTGGGGATGAGAAAGCTGTATTTTAACCTGTATGTCAACAAGATATAGGGTGTGTGTGTGTGTGTGTGATGTGTATGTTAAGTCTAATGGACAGATAAATAGGAAGTTAATATTTGAAATTTCCTAGCCAGGAATGCCTATTCCAGGAGTAGTCTGAACGTCCATAGACACTCCTCTCTAAAGCCTGCACATGTGTGTGCTGGGGGTGGGAGAAGGTTAATATATGCAGCTTCAACTATATCTCTAATCAACACCAGAGGATTTGTTAGTTAGCATAACACACATTAGAAATAATTTTTTAAGCTGGGCGCGGTGGCTCACACCTGTAAGCCTGGCACTTTGGGAGGCCGAGGAGGGTGGATAACTTGAGGTCAGGAGTTTGAGACCAGCCTGGCCAACATGGTGAAACTCCATCTCTACTAAACATATAAAAATTAGCCAGGAATGGTTGCATGTGCCTGTAATCCCAGCTACTCAGGAGTCTGAGGCAGGAGAATCATTTGAACCCAGGAGGTGGAGGTCGCAGTGATCAGAGATCACGCCACTGCATTCCAGCCTGGGTAACAGAGCAAGGCTCTGTCTCAAAAAAATAAAATAAAATAAAATAAAGAATTTTTTATTGTTGATATGAGTGGTGTTCAATATATGTAGCTAGGTTAGCAATATTACACAGGCAGCTCACCCTTACATGAACAGGGTAAACTAATCATCCTACCCTAGATTTAGGCAAATTCTAACACCTGTGAATTCAGACGCAGGTCTTTGAGATTAATTACCCATAGGACTGAGGAAAAGGTGAGCCTGGGGTACTGATTAATCTGCGCTAGTGGTTATCACACCCAAGGCAGCTCAGCAGCTTTATCATCCAGACCAAAGAATCTACTAAAGGCTCTACTTTTGGCCACCTTTGTCTTCACAATCTGCTATAGAATAATCATATCACATATAAAGGAGGAGAGTTGTGTTGTCCCCATTGTGAGGGGAGTCAAGATGGAAGGAAAACCCCACTGAACAAGTCAGCAAGGGAGCTGGTGAGGAGGGCTGATGGTTGAGTGTATATGATGGAGTCGAGGTCTACTGAAGAGAAAGAGGTAGGAAATAAAGACTTTGTCTGAAAAAAGAGGTCAGAATGCAGAGAAATAGAAATTAAAAAAACACTTAGAGTTAATTGAAAAGAGCTTAAAACCTTTCTGTGAATTCCTTCTTGCATGCGCACACGCGCGTGCACACACACACACAAAGATCAACTTGGGGCAGTTACCCTAAGAATAATAAGTATGTCTGGTTGGGGTATTTTAAATACTAACTGCCTGCTCATGTGTATATTAAATCTAATGGAAATACTTTTGTCTTACTAGAATGCAGGTTAAATACATCGGTTTCTGGGCAATGATTTTTTAGATATGACCCCAGAAGCACAGGCAACGAAAGCAAAAATAGACAAATGGGATTGCCTCAAAGTAAAAAGCTTCTGCATAGCAAAGGAAACAATTAACAGAGTAAAGAGGCAACATATGGAATGGGAGAAAATATTTACAATATTTTGCAAATTATCTGTTAAGGGGGTAATATCCACAATATATGTGAAACTCAATAGCAAGAAAATAACTTGATTTAAAAAAAGGGCAAAGGACCTGAGTAGGACATTTCTCAAAAGAAGACATAAAAATAGCCAACTGGTATATGAAAAAATGCTCAACATCACTAATCATCAGAGAAATGCAAACCAAAACCACAATGAGATATCATCTCATGCCTATTAGAATGGCTATCATTGAAAAGACAAAAAATAAGTGTTAGCAAGGGTGTGAAGAAAGGGAATTCTTGCACTCTGTTGGTAGTAATGTAAATTAGTAAAGCCATTATGGAAAAAGGGGGTTCCCCCAAAGATTAAAAAAAAGGGTTCCCCCAGGGATTAAAAATAGAACTACCGTATTACCCAGCATTCCCACTACTGGATATATAACCAAAGGAAATGGAATTTGTATTTTGAAGAGATAGCTATGCTCCCATGTTTATTGCAACATCATACACAATAGCCAAGATATGGAATCAACCTACATGTCTACCGATGGATGAATAAAGAAATATACAATGGAATATTATCCAGCCCTAACAAAGGAGATCCTGTCATTTGTAACACAATGTGGACAATGTGGATGACCCTGGCAGACATTATATTAAATGAAATAAGGCAGACACAGAAAAATACCGCATGATCTCACTTATATGTGGGATCTGAAAAAGTCAGACTCAGAGAAGCAGAGAGAAGAATGGTGGTTGCCAGAGGGTGGGGAGATGGGAGAAATGGGAAGACATTGGTTAAAGGATACAAAGTTTCAGTTATACAGATACAACGGTTTTTTAAAGCATCACTTCCTGATGCCCCAGCTGAATGCCTCATAAGAGGGACTACAAAAGCGATTTTTGATAGGATGGAAGGGCCCATGGGCTTGTATCAGGATATCTGTGTCTGTGTCCATGTGTGTAGTTTAACACATAGCTTATGGTTGGCAGATTCTCCCAAGCTTTTTCACCCTGTTTTGCTCTCTGTAGACACTGTCACTGCCACGGGAATTTCTCTTAGTTCTGTGGCTTTAAATCCCACCTATTTTTTATTCCTAGTCCCCATCTCTCCCAAAGCACTGAAATGAATATGCAACCTCCCAACAGATATGTCAGACCTAACAGGGTTCCAGACCAAGTGCTGTTCTCCAGCAAACATGCTCCATCTTGTTGTTCTTGACTTTGGTCAATGGCAGTATCATTTTCCGAAGTTTTTAAGGTTGGAATCATCTTTGACTCCTCTCTTCCTCTCACAATCCTCTTCTAATTCATCAACAAGTTTTATCAGCTAAATGTTATTCTGAACTCGACAGGTTCTCATTACTTTTTCCTCTATCAGTGTAACCCAAGACAAAACACCATCATCCCTCACCATACTGGATTACCACAACAGCCACAATCCTTACTGTCTCTCCCCTGTGGTATATTCTAAACACAGCAGCTAGAATGGGAATAATGCATATGATTGTGTTAGTCTCTTGCTTAAAGACCCCGAACAGCTTTCCCTCACACCTAAAATAACACCCAAAGTCTTCATCATGGCCTATGTTAACATCTTACATAACCATAGTACATTTGTCAAAAACTAAGACATTGATACAGGTACAATACAGTTAACTAAACTATAGATTTCATTTAGATATTACTAGTTTTTCTACTAATGCCATTTTTCTGTTCCAGATTCAATCCAGGATAGTACATTGCATTTAGTTATCATATCTCCTTAGTCTCCTTCAGTCTGTGTTAGTTTCTTAGTCTTTTAAAAAAATTATTATGTTCTTGACAGTTTTGAACAGTACTGGCCAGGTATTTTGTAGACTGTACCATGCTCTTTTTGTTTGTTTACCACAGAAGTAAATGTGATGGGAAGACAAAAAACAAAAACAAAACAAAACAAAACAAAACAAAACAAAAAAAGGAACCTAGATGCTATAGTTCTCAAAATTCCATTTCAGAAAACCCATTGAAAATCTTGCTAGAGTTGAGCTTTTTGGGGTTCCTATGTGAATAAGTTCCTGATCCCAGAATCAGGACATGGCAGGACTAAGGAGAACAGGAGAGCAAGGACTAAAAGCTCAGAAGCCTTTTTCCAAAAGCCCCCAGCATATTTTTCCTTCATTTTTTATTGGTCATAATTTCATATCATGGCCACAGAAATGGAACGGCCATGATTAGCTTAGTCTAATGAAGATCCACTCTAGTGGAGGTGGGATTAGGTGTTCTCTGAGTCATGGCTTCTAGAAGGAGGATAAACCAGCAAAGAAGGTGTGAGTAGAGAATTGTCCAGGATGGGGATGGGAAAGGGAATGGGTGTGGTAGACAACAAACAGTGGCTATTACAGAGTCTATATATTCTGTGCATAGGCAAAGTATGAATGGAGCATGGCCTTCTAGGGGTAGGGCATGTCAGAAGTATGATAGTTATCAAAAGAAGCCTGGCATGGATTAAAAAAATTGTGATAGAGCTGGCATGGTGGTGTACACCTGTAATCCCAGCTACTTGGGAGGCTGAGGTGAGAGGATTGATTGAGCCCAGGAGTTTGAGTCCAGCCTGGGAAACATAGCAAGACCTCATATCTATTTTTTTTAAAGTTGTGATATATCTGTACAGGAAGAACTACTCAGCAATAAAAACGTATGAACTGCTGATACGTGCAACATCATGAGTGAATCTAAAAAGACATCATGTCAAGTAAAAGAAGCCTGACACAAAAGACTGCATACTCTAGGATTCAATTTCCATGACAGTCTAGAAAAAGCGAAACCATAGCAACAGAAAACAGATCAGTAGTCACCAGGAGCCAGGGAGGAGGGAGGTGATTGGATCCAAAGGGGAATGAGGGAACTTTTGTAGGGGGGTGGGGCATTAAAATGTTCTACGGATTAAAGAGAAAACTACTCCTGGGTCTTGGGAGATGGTGCAAGATGGGACAAAGGACATTGCAGGAAACCTTCGTGATCTATGCAGGGAATAGTTCTGTTGTCTTGAGATACAAGGTAATCTGCCGAGGATTTTGTTTGGGGAAATGGCAGAAATTTCTTCCTATTATTTATTTATTATTCATTCATCCATTCATTTATGTTTTGAGACAGTGCCTTGCTATGTTGCCCAGGCTGGAGTGCAGTGGTGCAATCATGGCTCACTGGAGCCTTAGCCTCCTGGGCTCAGGTGATTCTCCCACCTCAGCCTCCCCAGTAGCTGGGACTACAGGCTTGTGCCACTATGCCCAGCTAATTTTTTAAATTTTTGTAGCGATGCGGTATTGCTATGTTGCCCAGGCTGGTATTTTTGTAATTAATTTTTTTTCTATGTTTAAGGTGTACAGCATGATGTTGTAATATGCATATGTAAAGTATCATTACTACAGTCAAGCAAATTAACATTTCCGTCACTTACCTAGTTACCTTTTTGGTGTGCTTGGTTAGAGCACCTAAAATCTACTCTCTTAGCAAATTTCCAGTGCACAAGACAATATTATAAGCTATAGCCCTCATGCTATACATTAGATTCCTAGACATACTCATCCTACATAACTGCTATTTTGTCCCCTTTGACCTACATCTTCTCATTTCCATGCCCCCCACCTGCCCTTGGTAACCACTGTTATGCTGTCTGTTTCTATGTATTTGACTTTTTAAAGATTCCACATATAAGTGAGATCATGCAATATTTTCCTTTCTATGTGTAGCTTATTTTACTTAGAATAATGTCTTTCAGTTTCATTCATGTAGTAGCAAATGACAGAATCTCCTTTTTTAAGCCTGAATAATATTCCATGTATATGGAATGTACATGTCTATGTATCTAAATCTACATAATAACAGTTTCTTTATCCATTCATCCACTGATGGACACTTAAGTTGTTCCCATAACCAGAATATTGTTAACAATGCTTCAATAAACATGGCACTGCAGATATCTCTTCAGCATCATGGATTTTATTTGTCTTCGGTAGATACCCAGTAGTGGGATTGCTGGGTCGTGTGGCAGTTCTATTTTTAATTTTTAAGGGAATCTCCACACGTTTTCCATAATGGCTCTACCAGTTTACATTCCTACCAACAGTGTACCCTTTTTTCCACCTCCTTGCCAACACTTGTTATGTTTTGTCTTTTTTTATGATAGCTATTCTAATAGGCAGGAGGTGACACTCATTGTGGCTTTGGTTTGCATTTCTCTGATGATTTAATGATGTGGAACATTCTTTTCATATATGGGTTGGCCATTTTTACGTCTTTTAAAAAAATGTCTATTCAAGTTCTTTGCTCATTTTCTAATCAGATTGTTTTCTTGCGATTGAATTGAGTTCCTAATGTATTTTGAATATTAACCCCTTATTAGACATAAGGCTTGCAGGTATTTCCTCCCATTCCGTAGGTTGCCTCTTCACCCTGCTGTTTCCTTTGCTTTACAGAAGCTTTTAGTTTGATGTAGTCCCACTTGTTTATTTTTGCCTTTGTTGCCTGAGCCTTTGGTATAACATCCAACAAACTTATCGCTCAGGCCAATGTCAAGGAGCTTTCCCCCTATGTTTTCTTCTATGAGTTTTACAGTTTCTGGTCTATGTTTAGGTCTTTAATCCATTTTGAGTTGACTTTTGTCTATGGTGTAAGATAAGGGTCCAATTTCATTCTTTTCCATGTGGATATCCAGTTTTCCCAGTACCATTTATTTAAGAGACTCTCCTTTTCACAATGCATTTTCTTGGTGCCTTTGTCAAAAATTAGATGACTTCATATTATATTATATTATATTATATTATAAGGTTTATTTCCGGGCTTCCTCTTCTGTTCCATTGGCCTTTTTGTCTGTTTTTATGCCAGTATCACACTGTCTTGATTACTACAGCTTACAAAATCACATAAAAATCAATTGCATTTCATTATACCAATGATGATCTATCAAAAATAAATTAATAAAGCAATCCCATTTATGATAGCATCAAAAAGAATAAAATGCTTACAAATAAATTTAACCAAGGAGGTAAAAGATCTGTACATAGAAAACTATAAAGCATTGATAAAAATAAATTGAAGAAGACACAAATAAATGGAAAGATATCTCACGTTCATGATTTAGAAACATTAATACTGTCAAAATGTATATGCTACCCAAAGTGATATACAGATTCAGCACAATCACTATCAAAATTCCAATGGTATTTTTCACAGAAATAGAAAAACACAATTTAAAAACTCATATGGAAGCACAAAGATTCTAAATAGCCAAAGCAATCTTGAAGAAAAAAAGCAAAGTTGGAGGCATACTGATTTCAAATTATCTTACAAATTTCATTTCTATGTTCTTTAGAATATCAATGAAGAGGCTGGGCACAGTGGCCCATGCCTGTAATCACAGCACTTTGGGAGACTGAGGTGGGCAGATCACCTGAGGTCAGGGGTTTTAGACCAGCCTGGCCAACATGGCAAAACCCTGTCTCTACTAAAAATACAAAAATTAGCCAGATGTGGTGGTGCATGCCTGTAATCCCAGCTGCTTGGGAGGCTGAGGCAGGAGAATCGCTTGAACCCAGGAGGCGGAGGTTGCAGTGAGCCAAGATAGCGCCATTGCACTCCAGGCTGGGTGACAGAGTGAGACTCTGTCTCAGAAAAAAAAAAAAAAAAAAAGAGTATCAATGAAGAGTTGGAAAATACAGGACTTGTAAGAGGGTTGACAATACCATGTGAGTTGAACTCTGGTTCTTAAATACCAGCAAAAGGACTTAAATTAATTAGAATATAGTTCTCCTTAATAAAAAGGCTTTCTCTTGTTTTACAGGGTGTTATGCATTCAATTTTAGTGTCCTCAGCTTTTTGGGTTACCTGTGGTCATATATGACTAGGACTTTTGATAGGGTTTCAATGGACACATATTGACTCTATAAAGGATCCTTCTTATTGAAGTATATTCTCTGCTTATTTACCATGGTCCTAACCAAACATGCCTGTCATTGATTCTAATCAACTGTGGAAATCCCAGCATCTAGCAGGAAGGGGACAGAGTGGGATATTTTTGGTCAAGGAGACCTGTCCTCTTTTCAAGTCATATTACATGTGTACCTGCCTATTCTGTGATAATTCTGACTACAAGCTTTGGGAAGGCAGTGGATGAGAGTGTCTAGGAGATGCCTAGGTAAAGAAGCTCGGTCCAAACAACTGGCATGAACAGCAGCCCATGGTTATTTGGGGCCTGGTGTAGGTTTTTAAAAACTTGTTATTGTTGATGTAGATTTTATCCCATTTGTATTGGCTGTACATATACACATCCCTGCATTCTGATTATTAAGCATGGGACTTTGTAAATATGCATTGCACTCTGACATAACATTATTTCCAAGTCTTAAAACATAACTATTCCAGCACTGTGATATAAACACATTCATTCTCAGACACACGGTTTTCAAAACTGTAGATCAAGTGCTAACACTGGAAACAGAAAAAATCCACTTCACATTGCAAAGAGAAAAAAAAATCCACTTCACACTGTAATCAATTTGCTTGCCATACTGTCTCCTTGAGATGGGGATTATGCAATTAGTGGTAACAGAAATGCTGGGCATTCTATGAAGGAAGGGCCCCACAGGCTGTGATTCGCAAATTCTTGTTCAAAAGTAGATGCCCTGGTTCCATCATTAGAAATCGTGACTTATCAGGTCTGAGATGAAGTTCAAGAATCCTTTTTTTTTCTTTTTTTTTTTTGAGACGGAGTTTCGCTCTGTCGCCCAGGCTGGAGTGCAGTGGCGCGATCTCGACTCACTGCAAACTCCGCCTCCCTGGTTCATGCCATTCTCCTGCCTCAGCCTCCCGTGTAGCTGGGACTACAGGCGCGCGCCACCATGCCCGGCTAATTTTTTTGTATTTTTAGTAGAGACGGGGTTTCACCGTGTTAGCCAGGATGGTCTCGATCTCCTGACCTCGTGATCCGCCCGTCTCGGCCTCCCAAAGTGCTGGGATTACAGGCGTGAGCCACCGCGCCCGGCCAAGAATCCTTTTTTTTTAAACCTCAGAAATGATTACCATCTATTTAAGAAACAGATCCAATTTTGTTTATTTTTAATTTTTTAGAGACAGGATCTCACTATGTTGCCCAGGCTGGATTCAAACTCCTGGACTCAAGCAATCCTCCTGCCTCAGCTTTCTGAGTTAGCTGGGATTGTAGGTGTGTGCCACTGCATCTGGTTGTTCAAGACTCTTTATTGCTAAGTTTTAATAAGTACCCCAGGTGTTACTAATTCTGTGCCCTTTGAGCCATTCTCTGAAAGAACCAATTTCTAACATGTCTAATCAGGCATTTATTTTCTTTCAGGATTTAACATGAAGCAAAAGTGACCTGGAATCTTTTCTCCTTTTATTGCCAAAATGCAAAGAAAAGAGTCTTTAGCTCTCAGAAAAAGACTACATTTAAGAGTGAAAATAAGAAAATGTGGGAGTTTGAGGAAAAGTATCATCAGCTGTCAAATGTCATGAATGCGCAGTCTTGGTCAATGGGCCACATGACCCAAAACTCATTATCCTCCCCAAAGCCACCAATATCAATACATGCACCAAATGCATCGACGCAATAGTTTTCTACCTTGGCCTGTCAATGAAGTTATTGAAACTAAATTGCCAACTCATTTCCATTCTTCTGTTCAATTTATCACCCGTTTTGAGAGCTACGCCAATCAATTCTATTACACATTTTCCTGCAACTCCTCACTTGATAATGAAGTAATCAAAAGAATCAGGGTTTTACCTATAAATATTATTTCACTTGATACTTTAGATGAATTTCAGGATCCTTGCATGCAGTGTGCCCTTAATAAGTAATTGCTGAATGAATGAACAAAGTATTGGGCTGAATCACATTATTGTATATATTCACAAAGTAATAGATCAAATCATATTTTTAGTACAGCCAGTCATGAATTGATTCTTAAAATAAACCCATGGTGATCATTTTATAAAAGGGAAGACAATTTTTTTAATTTGGTAAGAACACTTATACTTTAATGTATGTTTTTTAACCTTTCATTTTGAAATAATGTTATAATAAATTACAAAAGCTATAAAAATAATTCAAAGAGCTCCCTTTCCATCTTCTGAGGGTAAGTTGCAGATGTGATGCCCCTTTACCACTTCATATTTCAGTTTCTCCTTCCTAAAAACAAGAACACTCTACTACATACCTTGAGTACAACATCAGGAAAATAACAATGATCCATTTTAATCCATTGAATCCACAGAATCCACTGATTGTGCCACAAAAGTCATTTATAGGTTTTGGATCCCATTCAAGATCACATGCTGCATTTAGTTGTCTCATCTCTTTAGCATCCTTCAATCTGAAACCATCTTTACTATCATAGTCTTGACATTTTTAAAGAATACAGGCCAGTTATTTGATTTTTCTTTCAATTTGCATTTGTCTGATGTTTTATCCTAACTTACATATTTATGCATAAGAAGTGACACTACATTCTCAGCATATCATATCAGGATGCTGCACAAGGCTGATTTGTCCCATCACTGGTTTTCATTTATGTAAAATTTTACCAGTCGATTAAGATGATACCTCCCAAGTATTACAGCTGCATGTTAATAAGTATGCTGTACTTATTAATAATTAATGATGTATTAATGAACATTTTTAGAGATATGCTTTGAGACTATGTAAATATCCTGTTCCTCATCAAACTTTTACCCACCAATTTTAGCATTTATTGATGATTCTGGCCTGAATCAATTATTAAGATGGTGGTTGCCAAATGGTGGTTTTCTAATTCTATCTTTTCTTCTTCATTTATTAGTCGCATTCTACTATAGAGTTCCCTTCTCTGTTTCTATCAGCATGGACTCATGGACTCTTATTTTACTCAAAGGGTTAAATTTGTCATTAACTATTTTACTCCTTAAATAGTTCAAGATTTGGCCAACAGGAACCCCTTCAAGCTGACTTCTGTCTTCTTTTGACATGTCTCCATAATTCTTTAAGTATTTTCTCATTTCCTTGCACAACAAATTATTCTAGTTTCATCCACTATACCAAGGAACTGTGGTTCCTTTCAGTGGAGGATGGTATTAAGAAACCAAGGTCTGAGTGTTAGGTGTGTTCATTGCTACTGGGGTGCCATTGCTTTTAGGCCTTCTCAGTCGACAAACCTAGGAAATATATCACCATATACACACACATATACACTTATATTTTTCTGTCTATCTATCTATAATCTCTTTGGATCCAAAATCATTTTACACCTTCATCTCCAACTTCAAGGCACATAGCTAGATCTCTTGCCTTTCTGTATTGGTAATTCCCTTCTCCAGCAGTGAGATGACTGGCTCCAATTTTCTTAATGTATTTACTTCTTTGCTCAATTCCCTAGCACATAAACCAATCTCTTGGCCATGTCAGCAAAAAATGTGTCCTGTCTCTATTACATACATATATATATAAAATACCCCCCACATACATACACATACATATGAAATCAGATATTTTATGTATAAGAAACCATACTACATAGATATATCAGGAATCCCATATAATACACAAAATGTATCAATATGAAAATACATATCTAATTCCTATAAATATCTGATTTCACATATTTTTTTTTAAAGAGAAGTACACAGTAAGGCTTTCTTCTGATGAGCCTGGAGCCTGCTGTTTATACTTCCACAGTATTATTCCTTCATGCTGTACTTGGCCCTCAAGGAGCTGCTAGCCTCAGAAATGCAGAGTTCCCACTGGGTGTGGTGGCTCAAGTCTGTAATCCCAGCACTTTGGGTGGCCAAGGCGGGTGGATCATCTGAGGTCAGGAATTTGAGACCAGCTTGGCCAACATGGTGAAACCCCATCTCTACTGAAAACACACAAAAAATTAGCTGGCAGGCACCTGTAATCCCAGCTACTTGGGAGGCTGAGGCAGGAGAATCGCTTGAACCTGGGAGGCGGAGGTTGCAGTGAGCGAAGATTGCACCACCACACTCCAGCCTGGGCAACAAGAAGGAAACTACGTCTCAAAAAAAAAAAAAAAAAAAAAAAAAAAAAAAAAAAAAAAAGCAGAGCTCCTCAAAGCGGAAGTTTCCCTAGTTGCTACCTTTCGCTCCATGTACAGCCTATTCTTTAACTGTGACAAACGGCCACAGCCAGCTCCACAACCGGCTTGAGCCAAGTATTGAGCCTGAGGAAAGAAAGATTTTATATTTCAGCTTTAATAAACAACTGGGACATCTGTTACAATTCTATTTTCCTCACTAGGCTGGGTATGGTTTCTCTTGGTTGCAGGTTTCCCCCCACCCCCCGCCTTTCTGTGTACTAAGCCTACCATAACACACATGTCTGCTTGTGTGTTATCCCATTCGACGTGAAGGCTTCAGGGCAGAGACTGCTTCCTTTATTATCCATTTCTAATGTTAGAAGAGGGTCTAACACAGAGCAGGTGCTATTTGTCTATTGAAGGAAAGAATGAATACATCCATTAATCAATGTAGAATGGCGGGAAAAGACACAATTTGGGAAGGAGACTTTACTCTTTAACTTCTGGACCCATGTGAATGAGGAGTCCAGGTCATCCATCGTTAAAGGCATTTAGGTATTTTATTTCAAGTATTTTTCCCCTTTTCTGGTGACATACTACAATTCAGGACTAAATCTCAAATTTATTCTTGATATTGATAGCATTGATATTGCACACAAATCCCACGGTTACCGTCCAGCACTAGTGATCTTGTCCTATTTCCACCTGCAGCTTTTTGAATCTAAGTACACATCGCATTTCAAAACTCCCACGTTAAAGAAAGGCATCAGTTCAAGTTACTTTCTCATTTTCTGTCTTCGACTTTTTTCTGCTTCCCCCAAGAATATCTGAGAGTTACTTTTCTCGAAAGTTCTTTTGTAGTGTTCCAGATAGGAATCATCCTGTAATATTCCAAATGCAGCGTGTGGTGTGCATGTTGAATACATAAAAATGACGAGGTTAGGAACAATATCGCTGACGGTCGCGGTGTCCCGTTTTAATTTAGAGGGCGCCAGCAACACGTCAGTGAGGGAGATTCAGAAGCCGCCGGGCACCTCACCCCGGGCCGGGAATCCCTAAGAGAACCTTGACGCCGCTGAAGTTTCCGGACCGGGCCAGTTTGGAATTGACGAAAGCAGCCTCCGCCCGGTCGAGCCAGTCTCTCGGTTTTCTCGGCGGCTTCTTGAGGATGAGGCATTTCTAGGTTTTCTCCTCCTCGAGCAAATCACGGTCTGCGCCTTCCGCGGCTCTGGGAACAGGTGAGCCGTGCGGCGGCGCCCGCGGGACGCGCTCAGGTGCCGGTCCCCGCCCGCCGGCCCCTCCCTGCAGCACGCGGTCCGGGCCCAGGTGCCGGGGCCCAGGTGCCGGCGCCCAGGTGCGCGGGGCACGGGGCTGCAGCTCCGCTCGGCATCCGACAGCGGGCGCCGCTGCAGCAGCTCGCGGGCCGCGGAGCTGAACGGCTTCGCGAGTTGGGGCAGCTCCTCGCGCTCGGCCCTGCTCGGCGGCGAGAGCTCCGCCTGGGCGCCGCGTTCCTACAGCCGCCGGAGCCGCCAGGCGCCGAGGGAACGGACAGACCTCCGCGCACCCTTGCCGACCGGGGCGGGCAGAGGCGGGCAAGCGGCGAACGCCTGGGAGCGCGGAGAGCCAGGCCAGCCCGGAGCGCGCCGGGGACACCCTGTGCGCCCCGAGTCCCGGCACCATGCGACCCGCCGCGCGTCCTCGCGGGCCCGGGGCTTCGCTCTTCGCTCGCTGAGCCCCTGCGCTCGCCACCACGGAAACTCGGAAAGAGGAGGCGAGGCTGTGGGGAGCGGCGCGGAGACGGACTAGACTTCCCCTCCGCCCCCAAGAGGCTGCCGGTCCCCGGTTCCCTGGGCTTCTCCAGCTTTATCATGAACCTGGCGCAAGGTTGGCTTTAGGAAAAATTCTGGAGCCAGAGGGAGAGTCAAGGCAATTCTTTGGTTGCTAAGGTAATTGTAGTTGTGATAAAAAATGGGCAAGAAACAAATGGGGGAAAAACATGGTTTAAAACAGTATCCTCCCTCCCCACCCCATTAATATGTGTTGATTTCATCTCCTGGGTGTGGGTGCTTGTCCATTTCAGATGCGTGACAGGTGCCCGTGTGTGTGTGTCTGCAGTTTGGGACTGTGGAAGCACGAGCTTACATAAGTGGTTAGGCAAGCTGGCGTGTGGACTTGTGTGGGATGGGTGCAGGTCTGCATATAAATCATGTTCCTGGGTTTCTGGGTGTGAAGCGCACACCGACGGGGACGAGAGCGCAGAGGATGGCGCTTTTAGATACTTCCAGTCTTCCGATGTTGTGATCGCAGGTAGGGCAGCTTTGCCTCTAATCAGGCGTTCATTAACTTTTTCCCTGAACAAGCTCGCCCATTTGTGGTTTGGAAGAAAAGAAAGCGAGTCTCCGCGGTGAGGTGTGGAGGGCAGGGGCGGGTGGGGAGGTTTGTTGTTTGGGAACTGCGCTAGCAAAGGAAGCGGTGGCTATTCGCTTGGAGAGGATGACAAATGAACTGGTTGCGTGAGGAGTGAAGAGACCGTGTTTACAGTCACCAGCAGGCTGCGTAAAGAAGTGGCCCAGTGAGACAGGGAAAGTGACCCAGAAAATTTAGTTTTGTTCAGAATGAAAGCTGCTGTATTTCATTTTTGTTTCTTAATTTGACGGAGTAGGAACGTTATTTTCCTTCTCTGTCATTGAGACCAGTAGCATTTCTATGTTACAAACTGAAGATATTTGGGGTCTCGTCGGCTTGGGATTATCAATGCTTGGGAGGTGAGTTCTGATCAATACCTTTAACAACCCCAAAGAAAAACGCAAAAATAATCAAGTTTAGGTAAAACTTCCACTGGACTTTCTTTCCAGGGAGGGTGAGAGATGGAAGAACTGGGCTTGTAAGTATCAAAATGGAGTTAGAGAATGAGCTACAAGTTTGTGTGTGTATGGTCTGTCAAAAAGTGTTAAGACTGAAAGGAAACTGTTAGGTTTAGTTAAATGTGTTGACAACACGGCTCTTACATATCAATTTTCATAGGCAAATAGGTAATTACATAGAGTGGGAACTGGGACTATGGTGGGAAACTTTCTGTAAGATGTATATTCTTTATTCTTAATTTATCACTTTTTCAATGGGTGGGACTACTCTGTGAAGGAAAGTAGAGGGCTGAGGGACATTTGGTGAGACTCTTGAGAGAGAAACCTTTGCAAGCCAAATCTCGCATGCTATAGATGATAAATTCTAAGTTCTTTGATATTGTACCACTCTTAAGCTAAATTGTCCTGTAAATATGATCTCATGCACCATAAACTATATATATGTAGAGAGAGTCTATTCCCAATAACTCATCCTTTCCTGAAAGAGTCTGCAAGTTCTATAAATGTCAGCTGTTGGGAGGTATTGTGATGAAGGAGAGAGGCCACCAGTGTTTCCTTTTATATATTTATTCTGGCAGATCTTAACTTTACTTCTGATTTTCTTTAAGGAATTTCAGTTAACATTCACTGAATTTATATTGCTGAGAGTTTCAGTAAAACAAGACTAGATTTTCTTTGAAGCAATAAATTCATCTTATCAAGTGAAACATTATGACAATGCTTTTGTGGCAGAAATGTTTATTTAAATGAGTCCATTTTAATTATTTATTTATTTTTGACTTGCAGAATAAGATCTGCAACATAGATGTTTTTGAAGTAAGTAGACGTTTCTTGAGAAAGAAAAATAAATTTAGGTTACTGTGGACAATTTGCCAGTAATTTTGGATGTCTCTTTGTCTACAGGGACATAATTTTGTGTGAAAGTAGAATCATTCCATTTCTTATGTCTCTCATCTTCTCCCATGCATTTTATCCCCTGAACTCCTAAGACTTTGCCAGGAATTGCTGAACATTCTGTTTCGTGCCAGGGGTTAAATATCAGGGGATGGAATAAGGAGCTGTGTGTCACATAAACATTTTTCAAAAGGATGCTGTCAGAGATCTCAATACCGGGATTAATTTTTCCTTTAGCTTTGCAGTTAGCTTGTCTTAATTGGTATTGCTCTGAACCTAGGAATGCATTTAACCTCTTCATTTTCAGTTTCCAGCTGGAAGGAATATATTTACCAAATTTCATCTTCTTTGTAACATATGGCATGATATAAATAATTACTATACACACACTATCCTGCTGTAAGGAAAGAAATAGAATTACAAAATCAACTTTCGTGTTGAGTGATATGGATATAATATTTCAAAAAACAATTTTAACTTTTCCCCTGATTCCAAAAGTAATATTTAGCTATTGAAACAGTTCAGGAAAATACAAAGAAAAAAATAAAGGTTATCCATAATCTGCTAGGGAGAGGGAGCCACTGTTAACATATCTTTAACTGTATATTCTTCCAAATATTATTCTAGTCAATTATTTCTACCCAGTCCCCCTCCCCCACACATTTTTATAAATATAAAATATAGCTTGGAAATATAACTTGGAAATGTGTTAAAGGCTTGGGAATTTACTGCTTGTTTACAGAATGATTTTGATCAGATATTAGTTTTTACTGGTGGTCCTTATTTTCAAAAAGAGTAGGTTCTTTCTTTTTCTGTTCTTTGAAAACAAGTGTTTGCACTTTGGGCTGGTAATGCTTGGGGCTTCCTTTTGAATTTAGGGATTAAAGCATCAGAAAAGAAGTAGAAAGGTCATTGGCCATTGTGGGTGGGAGACCTGAGTTCTGGTTGCAGTTACTCCAACTTCTCCTGTGGCCTCTGGGCCTCTGTTTCCCTAAAGGGCAAAAGGTACTTTTAGATTTAACTAATTAAGCTAATGACGTATTTATTGCTTTGACATGAGAATGATCTTTGAAGAGGGCTTATTCAAACACAGAAACACCTGGGGGTCATCCTGGGAGTCTCTGATTGATTCTGTCTGAGATGGGGCCCGAGAAGGTACATATCTAACAAGTCCCTGGATGATGCTGACTGCTGGTTTGGTGACAGTGAAAACTAGAGGGTTAAGTGTACTAGGGTTCTCTTAGAGGGACAGAACTAATAGGATATATATATATATATATATATATATGTACATATATATCATATATACATATATGCTATATATATGCTATACATGATATATATACATATGATATATGTACATATACCATATATCTATAAAGGGGAGTTTATTAAGTATTAACTTACATGGTCCCAAGGTCCCACAATAGGCTGGCTGTAAGCTGAGGAGCAAGGAGAGCCAGTCCAAGTCTCAAAACTAAAGAAATTGGAGTCAGATGTTTGAGGGCAGGAAGCATCCAGCATGGGAGAAAGATGTAGGGTGGGAGGCTAGGCTCATTTCTCCTTTTCATGTTTTTCTGCCTCCTTTATATTCGCTGGAAGCTGATTAGGTTGTGCCCACCAGATTAAGGGTGGATCTGCCTTCCACAGCCCACTGACACAAATGTTTAATCTCTTTTGGGCAACACCCACACGGACACACCCAGGATCAATACTCTGTATCTCTCAATGCAATCAAGGTGACACTCAGTATTAACCATCAAAAGCCCACCCCTTGTCAACTTGAACCCATACATATCTCCTGAGATCATACATAATCTTCAAATAAAGACAATAATGAGGTCAAAATTGTGCATAACATAATACAACTATCCTTTGTACAACCAGAAATGCACCAATCCCCAATGCAAATACTATTACATAAAGTTAACAATACTTACATGCTGTTGTGAAGTCAATAAATCTTATGTCACATGATAAAGGAAAAGGAAATGAAGATATTTTCTTAGTATGAGTGTATATATACACAAACATGTTTTTAACAAAAGAAGGAGGAAATACTCTTGACAATTACAGTCTGTTTCTGCAGCTGGTCACATGGTCGTAGCTGGTATTGATGACTACCTTCTTCTACCCATTCAGTATTCCTTTTGCCTACAGCAAGCACCTCAGCAGGTTCTTTTCCCTGGTGGAGTGACCCAAACCTTTATTCCTGAAGGATCTGGACCATTTGTAGTCCCGCCTGGATTGGGCTGTTGTAGTTTCCTGTTGACCTTAATCACAGGGCATGGTAATACTGAGAGATGCCCTAATGGATTTCCTGTGTTCCATATGTAGTCTTCCTTACCTCTGCTGTGGAGTAGTAGACTGATTTCCTCTTGATAGTCCAGGTCAATCATGCCAGCCAACACAGTAATTTTCTTCTTAGCCTGTTGACTGAAAGATAGGAGTATCCCAAACTGTCCAGGTGGCAATCTTAACTTCCAGTTTAATGGAATCGTTGTGTTTCCTGGTGGCAGTGTTCCTCCCTCTGGAACTAAGATCTCTAGGCCAGCAGAAGGTAATGTCTTGGGAACAGGAAGCAAAAATTTTGCTAGTGGATCAGTAGGGGTGATGGTGAGTGGTGCCACTTCCACTTCCGCCCCTTGATTCCTGGACCTGTGAATCCTGGCTATAGGAGAAACAGTACCATATATTGGATGCTGATTCAGAGCATACACGGCCCTCTGGAGAACTCTGCCCCAGCCCTGCAAAGTATTGTCACCTAGTTGGCATTGTAATTGTGACTTCGAAAGGCCATTCCACCATTCTATCAATATAACTGCTTCAGGATGATGGGGAGCATGGTAAGACCAGTGAATTCCATGAGCATGAACCCACTGCCACACTTCTTTGGCCATAAAGTGAGTGCCTTGGTCAGAGACAATGCTGCATGGAATACCACGATGGTGGATAAGGCATTCCGTGAGTCCACAGATGGTAGTCTTGGCAGAAGCATTGTGTGCAGGATAGGCAAACCCATATCCGGAGTAAATGTCTATTCCAGTGAGGACAAACCTCTGCCCTTTCCATGATGGAAGAAGTCCAGTATAATCAACCTGCCACCAGGTAGCTGGCTGATCACCCTGAGGGATAGTGCCATATGGAGGGGTCAGTGTTGGTCTCTGCTGCTGGCAATTTGGGCACTCAGCAGTGATCATAGCCAGGTCAGCCTTGGTGAGTGGAAGTCCGTGTTGCTGAGCCCATGCATAACCTCCATCCCTGCCACCATGGCCACTTTGTTCATGGGCCCATTGGGTGGTGACGGGTGGCTGGGGAAAGAGGCTGAGTGGTGTCCACAGAACAGGTCATCCTATTCACCTGATTATTAAACTCCTCCTCTGCTGAGGTCACCCGTTGGTGAGCACTTACATGGGATACAGATAGCTTCACAGTTTTTGACCACTCAGAAAGGTCCATCCACATAACTTTTTCCCAAATTTCTTTGTCACCAATTTTTCAATCATGCTTCTTCCAAGTCCCTGACCATCCAGCCAAGCCATTGGCTACAGCCCATGAATTGATATATAATCGCATATTGGGCCATTTCTCCTTCCATGCAAAGTGCACAGCTAGGTGCACTGCTTGAAGTTCTGCCCACTGGGAAGATTTCCCTTCACCTCTGTCCTTCAGAGATGTCCTAGAAAAGGCCTGTAGTGCTGCAGCTGTCCACTTTTGGGTGGTGCCTGCATATCGTGCAGAACCATCTGTGAACAGGCCCTAGTCTTCTCCTCCTCTGTCAACTGATGATAGGGAACTCCCCATGAGGCCGTGGGTGCAGGCTAGGGGAGAGAAGGCAGGGTGGCAGGAGTGGAGACCATGGGCACTTGAGCCACTTCCTCATGTAACTTACTTGTGCCTTCAGGACTTGCCTGAGTCAGATCACGTATATACCACTTCCATTTGATGATGGGATGCTGCTGTGCACAACCCACTTTATGGCTAGATGGGTCAGAAAGCACCCAGTTCATGATAGAAAGTTCAGGTTGCATGGTGACTTGATGACCCAGTCAAACGTTCAGTTTCCACCAAAGCCCAGTAATAGGCCAAGAGCTGTCTCTCAAAAGGAGAGTAGTTACCTGCAGAAGATGACAGGGCCTTGCTGCAAAGTCCTAGAGTACTCCACTGTGATTCACCTATGGGCGCCTGCCAAAGGCTCCAAACAGCATCCCTATCTGCCACTGACAACTCAAGCACCATTGGATCTGCTGGATCATATGTCCCAAGTGGCAGAGCAGCTTGCATAGCAGCCTGGACCTGTTGCAGAACCTTCTCCTGTTCTGGACCCCACTCAAAACTGGCAGCCTTTCGGGTCACTCAATAAATGGGCCGGAGTAACACACCCAAATGAGGAATGTGTTGCCTCCAAAATCCAAATAGGCCCACTAAGTGTTGTGCCTCTTTCTTGGTTGTAGGAGGGGCCAAATGCAGCAACTTATCCTTCACCTTAGAAGGAATATCTCAACAGGCCCCACACCACTGGACCCCTAGAAATTTTATTGGGGTAGAAGGTCCCTGAATTTTAGTTGGATTTCTTATCCTCTGGCTTGCAAATGTCTCACCAGTAAGTCCAGTGTGTTTGCTACCTCTTGTTCTCTGGATCCAATCAGCATAACGTCAATGTAATGGACCAGAGTGATATCTTGTGGAAGCAAAAAGTGATCAAGGTCTCTCTGAATAAGATTATGACACAAAGCCAGAGAGTTGATATACCCCTGAGGTAGGACAGTAAAGGTATATTGCTAGCCTTGCCAGCTGAAGGCAAATTGCTTCTAGTGGGCCTTATGGACAGGAATGGAGAAAAAGGCATTTGCCAAGTCAATGGCTGCATACCAAGTACTAGGAGATGTGTTAATTTGCTCAAGCAATGAAACCACATCTGGTACAGCAGCTGCAATTGGCATCACCACTTGGTTAAACTTATGATAATCCACTATCATTCTCCAAGATGCATCTGTCTTCTGCACAGGCCAAATGGGAGAGTCAAATGGGAATGTGGTGGGAATCACCATCCCTGCATCTTTCAAGTCCCTGTTGGTGGCACTAATCTCCTCAGTCCCTCCAGGCACATGATACTGTTTTTGATTTGCTATTTTTCTAGGTAGAGGCATCTCTAATGGCTTCCATTTGGGCTTTCCCCCCATAATAGCCGTCACCCTACTAGTCAGCCAATGTGGGGGTTCTGCCAGCTGCTAAGTATGCCTATGCCAATTATGCATTCTGGCCCTGGGGAAATGACCACAGGATAAGTCCAGGGACCCACTGGACACACTATAAGCTGGACCTGAGCTAAAACTCCATTAATTATCTGACTTGCATAAGCCCCTAGCTTAAATGGAGGACCACAATGATGTTTTGGGTCCCCTGGAATCAATGTCAGCTCAGAGCCAGTGTCCAGTAGTCCCCGAAATGTCTGATCATTTTCCTTTCCCGAGTGCAGTTACCCTGGTAAAAGACCAGAGGTCTCCTTGGGGAAAGATGAGAGAAAGATCTACTGCATAAATTTTCAGTCATGTAGTGGAGTCCTTCCTTAAGGGGACCCAGCCTCCCCTTTGTCCAAAGGGTTCTGGGTCTGTAAACTGGCTCAAGTCTGGAAATTGAATGAGGAGCCGTGATTCTCTGTTTTTATAATTCAAATTAGTCTTTTGTCCATTCAACCTAGAAGTTTTCTGTTTGTGTAATTGAAGTAGGAATGCAGTAGGCTTCCTATCAATTTCACTTTTAGGAACACCATGATTAATTAGCCAATGCCAGAGCTCTACATGAGTCAGACTATTCTGATTGCCACTTTGCCTCTGCTGTCCATTATGGTAGTTATGCTCACCTTGCCTTTGATGGTTGAGTGCTGCCACTTGACCCCTGCCACCTGGTCCCTGCCACCTCTGGATCCAATTATTCCCATTTTGTAGTTGAGTGACTGTGGTTCCCACCATTAGATCTGACATACAGAGAATGGCAATTACAGGGCTCTTCAAAGATGCAGGTGCTGCCCTCCCAAGTCTATTTTGCAAGGCATTGGTCAAGGGTATATCTTCTGGACCCTCCCAGCTGGGATGAGTAGGTCTAAAGGGACTAATCCACTCCACCACCCCAATCTCCCTAAGCCTTTGGATTCCTTCCTGTACATTAAGCCAAGGGAGATCAGGCATTTCCAGCTCACTCACAGTGGGCCGCCTTTAAGAGCTTGTGTCTATTTTTCCACAATTTCGGCTCTTTCTCTAGGAGATAAGACTCTCACTTAGTGTAATCTTAGCAGATTTGAGGCTCAGTATCTGCTTCTGAAGCTGGGAGACAGAATCCCTGAGTTCATCATTTTCTTTCATCACTTTGTCCGTTGAACTTAAGAGCAGCCAACCTGCTTCACTGTGTTCCTTGGTTCTCCACATATGGTCAAATGTGCTATGTACAGAGTCGCTAAACTCCCTGCCTCTCATGAGCGGTGAATTAGGAGTGTCAAAGGCATTTATTTTGCATAACTCTCTAAACAGTTTCTGCCAAGGACTATCAGTGTTTTCTATACTATTAGAAGTAGAGTCCTTAGCATTTTTGGGTCTAATCATATTAAGCAGCCAACTCCAGAAACCCCAAAACCAACGAAAGAACTCCATTCTTAATATTCTGTTCATCTAGAACCACTCCTGGTACCAAAATCTGTATTAGGTTTCTCTTAGAGGGATATAACTAATAAGATATATATGTCTTAGGGAGTTTATTAAGTATTCACTTACACAATCACAAGGTCCCACAATAGGCTATCTGTAAGCTGAGGAGCAAGGACAGCCAGTCCAAGTCCCAAAACTGAAGAACTTGGAGTCAGATGTTTGAGGGCAGGAAGTATCTAGCATGGGAGAAAGATGTAGGCTGGGAGGCTAGGCTCCTCTCTCCTTTTCATGTTTTTCTGCCTGCTTTATATTCGCTGGAAGCTGATTAGATTGTGCCCACCAGATTAAGGGTGGATCTGCCTTCCCCAGCCCAATGACTCACATATTTAATCTCTTTTGGGCAACACCCACACAGACACACCCAGGATCAATACTCCGTATCCCTCAGTGCAATCAAGTTGACACTCAGTATTAACCATCACAGTAAGCTCCTTACAGGCCAAAATGCCTGTTTGACTTTTCACAGGCTTTCACAGTAAGCTCCTTACAGGCCAAAAAGCCTGTTTGACTTTTCTTTGCAGCCATCCATCCAGTGCCCCAAAATATACCTGCCAATAGGTGTTCAGTAAGCATTGGTTGAATCAATATTAGTTTTCTCTTATGGAGGAATATCTTTCTGGAGTAGTCAAGACAAAAGAATAATCATCCAGAATTTGGAAACATTAAGCCTGTAATAAGAGTTATAATCATTCATGGACCACACTACTTCAAACTGCAAAGAAAGCAAAAATGCTTATAAGTAGGCAATTAAATTGAACATTAAACCTAATGAGTTACATTAAATAATAACTAGGAATACCTGTTTGAGATGTTACAAACCACAAAGCCTACCAAATACTTCACCGTTACCTCTCTCAGGTCTGGAAGAGGCCATTTATTTTCTACCACATACACATATTTCAAAAAATGGAAGTTTCACTATTAATTACCCTAATTACCAAGGCAGCAGATAAAGCAAGCAATCTCCTTGCTCCCCTCTCCTCATCCCCCATCCCTCCCACCAAGAAAAAAGGCTCATTAGAACTCTACCACCATTCTATAAGATAGGTCCCAATTTTATGAATGAAGAAATGTAAAACTTTAGAGAAAGAAATTAACCTGCATAAATCCACAAAGTGAAGTAGCAGCATCAGAAGTAAGATCCAGGCCTCCTGATACCAAAGGGTGTTGTTCTTTACCACTTCCCTCTGGTGACATTGAATGTGTATATTTGATAGCTGGGAGATTCTAGCTGGCTGAAATACCCCAGTTAGAACTTTTGATTATCCTTATGTGGCTACCTTTTATATAGAAAATATATCTTTTCCTTCTACTTAGGTGTTAGTAACATAGGGTGGTACCAAGAACCACCATTTTTATGTGTGGTAACTTCAAAAAAAGTGTAAATATTTGGATATGAACAAAATAGATCCTCATTCATTAATAGCTCAGGCTATGCAAATGAATTGTCTTAGAGGCTGTCTTGGCATTTCACAGTAATTTGGTTAAACTATCAAAGAGAAAGCCACCTTTAAATCTGTCCATGGTAGAGTTCACTCATTCACTAGTATCTGCTTGACCCAAGAACCTATTTTCTTGCACACATGGAAGCATGCATTCTACAAAGCCAGCTGAGGTGAGGTCCCCTGCATGAATGAGAGCTGGTGGTGGCACTCCCTTGGAAATACCCCAGGCACCTGTGTTGCTCTCATGAAGACCTGGCTAGTCTGGAGCTCAGACAGAGAACTGCTATTATTTGTTCTTAAAGGAGCACAACAGGCATTTTAAAATCCTGTTAATTGTGTTTCTGAACCTTAGTTTTCTCGTCTGTGAAAGAATAATTTAAAAAATACCCTTTGAGTATGTGTGACCATGAGAATAGAGGACCCTGTATGAAGTATGGGGCATAGAAAGCACAGACACGTAAGAAGATGGGACTGTCACAGCACAGTTCCTGTTTTCTAATAATTTTTAGAGTGAGTCTGTTGAGAAATAAGTGTTTCAGGATAATGGTTCCTCTTTATTTTCTGTTCCTGAGGCATTGCTGTGTTAGTCAAGCATTTGATGGACTCCCAAGTCTCTGAGAATCCTGCTCCATAGTTCTCACATTGGGATTTGAGGAGGCTTGTAGAAAGCAAGTGGCCCACACATCTAAGTGGGAGAAGGCAGCGTGGGCAAGATCTCTGTGGTAGCCAAAGATGCCTCTGTTTCCTGGAGGCGAAAGGCCATTAATCACCAGCAGGAAGAGAAGTGAAAAAGGAGACTGCTGCTGCATTGATAGGGCTTATGCCAGACACACAGAGCAAGCCCATGTTTTTTCTCTGCATCCTTGGGATTTCTTACAGTGCTTGGCACATAGTAGGAGTTTGGTAAATGTTTGCTGAGTTATTGAGTTGCAGAGTGACAGCTGTGGGTGGAGGAGGAAGGATGGGCTAGTATTGGTAGGAATTCATGGACTAGTGGGGGTGCATGGATTGGTATGAGTGTGGATGCAAGGTGCACGTGGTTATAGCCTTCATTCTTATTGCTTGCTTGATTTTGCCTGGCAAGATCCACTTCATATCCATGATATAGTGAGACTGTCATCCTAGTTTCACATTATTGTGTGTCTATTCCATTGGGCTTTGGTCGGTTTGGCTTTTTTGTTTTGTTTTATAATTTATGTTTGTAATTTTATCTCCACCTCTAGCACAAGACCAATACACATAGTAAATGCTTGATAAAAATTCGTTGCCTAAACAAAAACTTGCTCAGCCTACAAAACTATGGGTCCGTCATATGGTTGTGGGCTGATCTTACAAAATAACAATCAGCATTTGTTAAGCTTTTTGCAAATCAAAGTCCTTTAAGAGATGTTGGGTGGTATTATGCCCATTTTATAGATGAGGAAACCGAGTGGAAACGAGGTTCAGTCACTTGCCCTAAGTCAGATAGTCATTGAGGAGCCAAGATTTAAACTCAGATCTTTTCTGACCCCAAAGTCCTTGTGCTGTTTTATATAGCACAAGGTGGGGAATAAACAGAGACCCTACCCTTGAGATCATTTCAGTTGTATTGGAGAGATGATAGGAATAAATAGAAAATTAGCAATAAAAGATGTTAAATGATAGTTTAGGAAAAAATGCAGGGGATTTTGTAAGTCAGATTTGGTAGCAAATAGATGATGAAGACAGTAAGCACATTATAGTTTAGTTCAGAGACAGCATTTTATCATCAGATCTGGAAGAGACAGGCTTCAGGAAATAGGAATAAACTTTAAAGGTGCAAAAAGGGATAATGGCAAAGTTTTCAGATGAAAGGTGTTAATAATACAGTCACGTGTCACTTAATGACCAGGATACATTTGGAGAAATGTATCATTAGGTGATTTTGTTGTTGTGTGAACACCCTAGAGTGTACTTACACAACCTAGATGGTATAGCCTACTGTACACCTAGGCCATGTGGTATAGTGCTCCTAGGCTACAAACTGTGCAGCATGTTACTGTACTGAATACTGTAGGCAATTGTAGCGCAGTGGTGTTTTGTACTTAAATATATCTAAACATGGAAAAGATACAGTAACAATATGGTGTTATAATCTCATGGGACCCCCTTCATGTATGTGGTCCATCACTGACTTGTGGTGCATGACTGTAATTGGTTATTAAAACAATTGTTTGATTTCAGAGTAAGGGCTAATATAAACTCCTTATAGTTAAAGCCATCTCAGACCACCCTAGCTAAAATAATAACTCCTGCCCCTTCTCATTGCTCTTCATTGTCTTACTTGCCCTATTTTTGATCACAGCTTTATCACCATGACATTGCATTATATGTACTTATATATTGTCTGTCTCCCTCTGCTAGAATATACATTCCATAAAAGCAGGGACTCTTTTATTTCCTGTTGTAGATTCAGCATCTGTCACAGATTCTGATTCATACTAATTGTTTAAGAACTATTTGTGAAATGAAGGAAGAAAATGCATTTTAAAAATGAGTTGCAAACTCAAACACTCAATAGACCAGTTAGGTAAAGGAAATGAGGGAAGCAAGTGAGGTTTCTTCCACAATGGTAACAAGTTGTAATTTTTACAAATCAAAAGCATGTTTTGTTTGTACATTACACAGATAGAAAGTTTTTACTCCCAGAAATACATTTATATCTATTTTTCTTGAAATATGGGGTCATCTGACTCATTGTCAAGAGAGACCTGGATACCAAATAAGATTTCCTTTTTTCTAGAAGCAGAACAGCCATCCACGTGTGATGATGAATGGCACCTGACCTTGGATCTCAGGGTTGGGGTTGCATTAGGGACAGGTGGAGAATGTGTTTAAGCGAGAAGTATGTGCTGCTCAGAAAGCCCTGTTGTTGCCAAATTTTAATTCATTTAAAAATTATTAACCAATTTCAATTAGAAAAATATTATGTATATCTACACTGCCCAATCCAAGAGAAACACCTTTTGAGCTGGCTGTATTTTATGGTGTGACCTCTGTAGAAAAAAAAGATTAAATAACATATGCAATATATTTTCTCCTTAAACTTCTATGGAAATGCTACAGTGTTTAGATTCCAAATCAAGCAGGAAGATGCCATTATATTATTTTGCTGACCATACATCCTAATACAAAGACTGATTCAGCAGCTGGTCAAAATAGAAAGGACGCATTCACAAAGAATAAATATATTGATTACATTTTAGACTTTTTTTTAGGTGAAGGGACTTTCATTTTCAGGATAGCAGGTAGTTTAGGGCTTGGCTGTTGGTTTCTGCCGATAGCCAGGGGTATGTGACAGGAGACAAAGTAGCTGAACTCTCTTGATCTGCATTCTTCCCAGTTGCAGAATAGGGCTGAGAAATTGTGATTGCTTTGAGATGGTTACTGAAAGAGAGTGTGTACCTGGAAACAATCTCTGGTTTAGTCAACTATTAATGGGGTTGCGGGGGCGGGATGTTCCGTACCCCAGGTCACAGCTGGCCTGGGGTCTCTGCTGCTCCTCCCCACTCCTTGTCCTGCTGGTCCGTGTCAGACAGTGCATCTATCTTCCTACCAAGGACTCATTTCCAGATAATGATTAATTGGATATGGCTCCTGTGTTCAAGAAACTTAAAATTCTGAAGAAGGAAAACAAATGGAGAGACGGAATGTGGTAAGCAAGGCCTATATATGGAAAGTTAGGGAGAGATGACTTCCTGCTGAGGGATTTCACTGAAGAGGCTAAGTAGATGAATTGGACTTTGGAGGACCTAGAGGTCTGGGGCCTGCAGAAATGGGGCCAGGGGACAGAGATGGCAAGAATGTACTTGGGGCATTTCAATGTAAACAAAATTATACAGGTGATCAAATGCAAGGAATGTGCAAAGAATATTTAATACCCCCCATACAGAGTGAGGTCCTTAAAAACCTTTCTGGCAGGAGGAGTCCGTGTTGATGAACTTAAAACTTTAATGAAAACAAGGATAGGGGAAACCTAGGTTTAAGCAAAACTGTTCAATAAGTATTTGTCATATTTACTGAAAGTAAAATGAGAAAACAAAAGTAGATTATGAGTGACATTTTACTCACCTTATGTTGGTAAGAGCAGTGTGCCACAGTGAATTTCCAGTTACTTCTTGCTGTTTTTCAGGCTGTCAGCCCCCCTTACAGTGAAATGCTTACAGGTAGTTTTGCTTTATTACAGTTAGTGTACAATTCTTATGCACAAGGGCACTCCTCCATGCCAGGCTCACTATACAAATGTTCAATGCCTTTCAGTCAGAGAGGCTGACTGCTGACTCCTGGGTCTCCCTGTGGCTAAAGGGTAAAGTGGATAGATACATCTTGGGGTAAACTTTATTTAACTTAGTTGGCATGACTGATCAGGAAGTCCTCAGATACCTCACCCCCATGCCTAGGGTATTTAGTGTCATGCCAAAGCATATGCTGCCAATTCCAGGTTTTCATTTTTTGGTTTCCTTTAAGCTTTCAAAAGCTTCTCTGCAAAAATCACTTCCGCTGCCTGCCATCTGCCTTAAAACCCCCTCCCCCACTTAAAAAAAATCTGTTTCTAATCCCAAGAGTCTTTTTTGTTGTTGTTTTCGAGACAGGGTCTCACTCTGTTGCCCAGGCTGGATTGCAGTGGCGTGGTGTTGGCTCCCTGCAGCCTTGACCTCCCAGACTCAAGTGATCCTCCCACCTCAGCCTCCCAAGTAGCTGGGACTACAGGCGTGTGCCACCACTCTGAGCTAATTTTGTGTTTATTGTAGAGACAGGGTTTCATCATATTGCCTAGACTGGTGCGAGATTCTTATATTTTCTAATTATTCTTAAAATGACCAATTGACTATCAAAAATGTATTTGGAAATAGGTATAAGTTGAACTTTGCTTATTGGGAATTCTTGGTTGGGGGAGTTTTCTGTAGTTGAGATTACCATGTTGTTGGGTATATGAAGATGAACAGTGACGGATAAAACTAGAAGTGCAAGTTGAGGCCAGTGTGCGAAGGAACTTGAATGCCATATAATAGTGTTGATAGTGATGGGGATTTAGTCTTCTCTCTGATGCAGACTAAACAAAAAAATACCAATAACCCAACTGAACTGAAGCAAAATCCAAGTATCTCGAGCAGAAATAAATTTATCTGACCACATAATCTGAGAATTCAGGCTTAGCTGGATCCAGGGACTTAGATGATGTGGTCAGCACTCTTACTCAACACCTTGTCTTCTTGACTTCCTCCTTCTATGGCACGAGAGAAGAAGAAGATGGTCACTAATATTTCTACCCTCACATCTTTTCAACAGTCACCTCACAGGGGAGGAATCTTCTTTCTTCCAGCGTCCTTATCTCAGTCTCAGGGAAGGACTTTGGTCCTGATTAGTCACATGTCTACGATGGTTCGATCTGTGTGTCTGATAATGAGGCATACTCTGGCCAGGACAGTCCACAGTGGTAACAGACACAACCTCTGGCTCCTTCATCATCCCTGCAATTATAACCCTGCCATGATGTCATTTTTTGCATCACTGTATGTGAGAGGGCTGCAATGCCACCTTGAGAACCCAATATGCTGCATCCTTCCTCCAGATCTGCATTTATTTGCACTATTCTTTTTCAAACATACAGTTCTACTGAAGTATAACATATTTACAGAAAAGTATTCAAATCATTGTTCAATAAATTTTCAAGCAGTAAACACATCCATGTTATCTCTCTGAGATCAAGAAAGAGAATATTACCGTTCTTCCAGAAACCACCTCATGGGCCCTCCCAGTAAGTACATATTTCTTTTTTCCCATTGGTAACTGCTAAGCTGATTTCCTTTCTCTCTCTCTCTCTTTTTTTTTTTTTTTTTTTTTTTTTTAAAGAGATGAGGTCTCACTGTGTTGCCCAGGATGGCCAGGAACTCCTAGGCTCAAGCAGTCCTCCCACTTCAGCCTCTCAAGTAGCTACCACTAACCTGATTTCTAACACTGTAACTTTCTCTTTTTTGAAACAAATGAAATAAATATGAAATCATACATATATGCCTGTACACTTTCTTTCTAGATCCTTATGCACAACATTGTTTGTGAAATTCATCTATGTTGCAATGTGTAGCAGTAGACTATTTTTATTACTATATAGTATTCTACTTTGTGATATTCCACAAACTATTCATCTACTGTTGAGGGACATTTGGGATATTTCTAGGTTAGACATATGAATAGTGCTGCTATGAATATTTTTGTATGTGTTTTGTGACACACATATGAATGTGTTTCTGTTTGATATACACACCTAAGACTGGATTGCTGGGCCATGGGGTGTGCATATGTTCAGCTTTATTCGATCCTTACAAAGAGTTTTCTTAAGTGGCTGCACCAATTTATATTCCTATCATCAGTTCATGAGTGTTTCAGTTTCTTTATATCATTGGTAAGACTTGAGATTGTTAAATGTTTGAATTTTAGCCATTCTGGTGGGTGCGTAGTGATGTCTTATTATGGCTTCAATTTGCATTTTTCTGGTGACTGATGATGATGTGCCTTTTTAATTTTTTTTTGCCACTTTTATTTGTCTTTTGCAGTGCCTATTCAAGCTTATTGCCTATTTTAAATTAGATTTTTAATCTTTTTCTCATTGAGTTGTAGAAATCTTCTTTTAAAAACAAATTTTTAATACAAATACTTTTGCCTGTCATATGTATTTAAAATATCTTTTCCCGGCTCTAGTGGTTTGCCTTTCACTCTCTTTTGATGAATTGGAGATCTCACTTTGAATATAATCTAACTTATCAGTCTCTTTCTTTATGGTTATTGTTTCCTGTGCCTACTTAAGAAATTGTTGCCTACCCTAAGGCTATGAAGCTACTCTGTTTTAATTTATAGAAGCTCTATTTTTTTTTTTTTTTGCCTTTTAGCCTTTTATCTTTAGGTTGTAAAAATCTACCTGTGGATGATTGTTGTTTGTGGTGTGATAAAGGCATCCGTATTTGTTTTGTTTTACTTATGGATATCCAATAAACCCAGCACCACTTATTGAAAAATCTCTTCATTTCTACTACTCTGAAATGTCACCTTTGTTATCAGTCACATTTGTGGTCTGTCTCTGTGTTTTCTAGTCCATTCCATTTTTCTATTTCTCTAATATAATATTGATAACGCACTGTCTTAATTACGTGAGCTTTATAGGAGGTCTTGATATTCAGTAGTGTGCACCCTCTAGTTTGTTCTTATTTAAGAATAACTTCTAAAGAACAAAGCTGGAGGCATCACTCTACCTGACTTCAAACTATACTACAAAGTGACAGTCACCAGAACAGCATGGTATTGGTACAAAAAACAGACACATAGACCAATGGAACAGAATAGAGATCTCAGAAATAAGACTGCACATCTACAACCATCTCATCTTCCACAGACATGACAAAAACAAGCAATGGGGAAAGGATTTAATAAATGGTGCTGGGAGACATGGCTAGCTATATGCAGCAAACTGAAACTGGACCTCTTCCTTACACCTTATCCAAAGATTAACTCAAGATGGATTAAAGATGTAAAGTAAAACCAAAAACTATAAAAACCCTAGAAGAAAATCTAGGCAATACCATTCAGGACATAGGCACAGGCAAAGATTTCATGACAAAAACATCAAAAGCAATTGCAACAAAAGCAAAAATTGAGAAATGAGATATAATTAAGGAGCTTCTGCATAGCAAAAGAAACTATCATCAGAGCGAACAGGCAGCCTACAGAATGGGAGAGAATTTTTGCAACCTATCCACCTGACAAAGATCTAATATCCAGAGTCTACAAGGAACTTAAATTTATGAGCAAAAAACAACCCAATTAAAAAGTGGGCAAAGGACTTGAACAGACACTTGTCAAAAGAAGACATTTATGTGGCCAGCAAACATGAAAGAAAAGATTAACATCACTGATCATTAGAGAAATGCAAATCAAAACCACAGTGAGATACCATCTCACACCAGTCAGAATGGTGATTATTAAAAATTCAAGAAACAACATGCTGGCGAGGCTGAGGAGAGAGAGAAATGCTTTTACATTGTTGGTGGGAGTGTAAATTGGATCAACCATTGTGGAAGACAGTGTGGTGATTCCTCAAAGACCTAGAGGCAGAAATACCATTTGACCCAGCAATCCCATTACAGGGTATCAACCTAAAGGAATATAAATCATTCTGTGATAAAGATACATGCATGTATGTGTTCATTGCAGCACTTTTCATGATAGCAAATACATGGAATCAACCCAAATACCCATCAATAATAGACTGGATAAAGAAAATATGGTAATATACACCATAGACTACTATGTGGCCATAAAAAGGAACGAGATCATGTCCTTTGCAGGGTCGTGGATGGAGCGGAAATCCATTATCCCCAGCAAACAAACGCAGGAGCAGAAAACCAAACACTGCATGTTCTCACTCATAAGTGGGAACCAAACAATGAGAACCTGTAGAGAGAGGGAGGGGAAAAACACCTGAGGCCTGTTGGGGATGGGGGGATGGGGAGAGGGACAGCATCAGGAAAAATAGCTAATACATGCTGGGCTTAATACTTAGGCGATGGGTTGATAGGTGCAGCAAACCATCATGGCACACGTTTACCTATGTAACAAACCTGCACGTCCTGCACATGTACCCCAGAACTTAACATAATATATAATTAAAAAGAATAGCTTCATTATTTCTAACCATTTGCATTACTGTATAAATTTTAAAGTCATCTTCTGATGGGATTTTGATTGGGATTGCATTAAATCTCTAGCCTAAATTGGGAGTAAATTAATGTTTTTACAGTGTTGGCTATTTTAATCCATTAATATGGAATATCCCTTCCTTTATTTAGATCTGTCTCTCACGTCTGTCAGCATTTTTGTATCCCTCTATATTGTAAAATTATTGCACATCTTTTAAATATATATTCCTAGTATTTGAAATTATTCGATGCTATTATAAATAATACCTTTAAAAATATATCATTTTCTGATTGTTGCTGATATACAAAAAATACAATTGAGTTTTATATATTGACCTTGTATTCATTGACTTTGCTAAATTCACTGAATCCTAATAGTTCTGTGTATTAGGTTGGTGCAAAAGTAATTGCATTCATAAATTATTATGAATTTCCATGTACACAGTTAAATTACTTGTAAAAGAGTTATTACTTTTACCTTTCTAATTATCACGACTTGTATTTGTTTTTCTTGCCTGTTGTATAGGCTAAGACCTCAAATATAATGGTGAATAGAAGTGGTGATAGTGAGCATTCTTGTCTAATTTCCAATCTCAGTGGGAAAGTTTTCCATGTTTTACTATTAAATATTATTAAATATTTCTGTAAGTGTTTTACAAATACCGTTTATCAGATCAAGCAAGCCCCCTTACATTTAAAATTGGCCAAGAGTATTTTCATGAAGAGGTGTTGAATTTGATTAAATGCCTTAAAGCCATAATTGCACAGAATAGCGGGCTCACCTCTGTACTTCCTTTTTCTCTTGGATCATGATCCCATGTGTCCTCATTGCCTTGGGAGCTCTTCTTTTTATACCATATCTACCTTTCTAGATTTTCTTGAGGGTTGGACTGTTACAAGTTAGATCATCATTGTAGGAATTGGTACTGTAAATTCAAATTGTACTATTTTTGTCTGCCATCTACACGGTATGAGTAAAACTGTAAAACCCCCGAGAACCTATTCAATTGTTATTTCTTTGATCTATATTGCTTTTGGCTGGTAAGCTTTATGAAAAGATTTTCTTTTGTTAAATTTTGCTATCTTAAGAGGAAAAGTCTACCATTGCTGCTACAAATGGAGGCATTATGGAGTCATTGAAAGGGTGCACCTTATATTACATTTAAATGCCATGTTTTACATATAAACATACTGATTTTACCTGTTCCTTTTTAAAAAAGAAAGAAAACAATGAAATCCCAAGGAATAAAACTGACATTCTTTAAAAAAGAAAAAGCCAATAGGAGTGCTTTTCTTCTTAGGTCCCCTGGGAACATGTCATCCTCTTCATCTCTTAGTCATCCACTTCTTGTGTATAAAAATTGGCAACGCTTCTCTGTCACTCCCACTTCTTCTCTAGCAGTGATACAATCTTTCATGCGAAATAAGAGAATAATAAAATGTTATTTCTGCAGTCCCAATAGTCAGTAGTATTAGAAACTATAATCTTGGAACCCATACTTAACAAAATATAAGCCCTCTCATGTGAGAAGAGAGGGAAGACCCAAGCTCTAAATGCTGACTCATTGCTAACCAGGAGGGTGGCATTAGAACGCAACTTGACCTTCCCAGGTCTTAGTGCCATCCTCTGAAAACCAAAGGCTTGGACTTGTTCAAGGGACAGAAAAAATTGTAATGTAAAGGGCTAAATAGTAAATATTTTGAGTTCTGTGGGCCATACAGTCCCTGTTACAACAACTCAATTCTGCTGTTGTGGCACAGAAGTGATCATAGACAATAAGTAAACAAATGGGCATTTATTTATAAAAGTGTATTTATGGACACAAACTCAAATTTCATACAATTTTCATGTGTCATAAAATACTGTTCTTTCAACTTTTTTTTCAAGCATCTAAAAATGTAAAAACAATTCTTAGCAAAGAGATCATATAAAAAGAGGTAACAGGCTTAGATTTGTCCCATGGGCCCAAGTTTACCAACCTTTGAGTCAGTTAAATTGTCAAGGGCTGTTCCAGAGCTCTGTGTTAGGCATTCATATGCTAGCCTTTTAAAAAATATTTTTTTTGTCCTATGAACATTATTCAAAAGGGTCTATTTTTTTCTTTTAGACCAATTATGAATAAGAAAAATACAATATGTTGTTTTTACCTTTATTCCTTCATCAGTGCTTGTTCTTTCTTTTTAGAGATCCAAGTTTCTGACCTGTATAATTTTCCTCTGCCTGAAGAACTTCTTTTTGCATTTCTTGCATAGCAGGTTTGCTGGTGATAAATTTCCTCAGTTTTTGCTTGTCTGTGAAAGTCTTTATTTTTTCTCCACTTTTGAAGGATAATTGCACTAGATGTAGAATTCTAAGTGGGCGTTTTTTTTTTTTTTTTTTTCCTTCAACATTTTAAGTATTTCACTCCACACTCTGGCTTGCATGGCTTCTGTAATTCTTATCCTCATTCTTCTATAGGTAAGGAATCTGGCTTCTTTTAAGATTTCCTCTTTGTCTTTGGTTTTCTGCAGTTTGAATATGATATACCTAGATGTAGTTTTTCTTTTTTTGGGTGTTTGTCCTGATTGGTGTTTACTGACTTTTCTGGATCTGTGATTTATTGTATGTCATTAATTTTGGAAAGTTCTCCGTCATTATTCCTTCTAATATTTCTTCTCCTTTCTTTCTTCTCTTCTTGGAATTCTGATTACATTTATGTTACAGCTTTTTATATTGTTCTATAGTTCCTGAATATTCTGCTCTGGTTTTTTTCCTCCCTTAATTCTCTCTCTCTTTTTAGTTTGGAAATTCATGATTGACTTTCAAGCTCATGGAGTCTTAAAAAATTTCTTAAATTTTTAATTTTTATGGGTACATATGTGTATACTTATGGGGTACATGAGATATCTTGATACAGGTATGCAATGCATAATAACCACATCATGGAAAATAGGGTGTCCATCCCCTCAAGCATTTCTCCTTTGTGTTACAATCCAATTACACTCTTTTAGTTATTTTAAAATGTACAATTGAGTTGTTGTTATTGACATTAGTCACCCTCTTGTGCTATCAAATGGTAGGTCTTACTCTTCTTGGCCATTTGAGTCTGCTGATGAGCCCATGGAAAGCCTTCTTCATTTGTTACAGTGTTTTTGATTTTTAGCATTTCCTTTTCAAAGGAGTTTTAAAAAAATGTTTCCTTCTCTCTGGTTTCATTACCATTTACTTTCTCCATTAGAATCCTTAACATTTTTCATCATAGTTATTTTAAATTTCCTATCTGTTAATGACACAGATAATTCCAACATCCGTGACATATCTGAGTCTGATTCTGATGATTGCTTGTCTCTTCAGAATGTGTTTTTCTTACCTTTCACCATGCGTTGTAATTTTTTGTTGAAAGCCAGACATGATGTGTTGGGTCATAGGAACTGAGGTAGGTAGGCACTTAGTGTGAGGTTTTACTTAATCTGGCTAGGAGTTGGGTTGTGTTTAGTGTTTGCTGAGCTGTAGGTGCTAGAGGCTTCAAATCCCCCCAAGGGTCCTTGTTTTTGTCTCCTCTCTTGACTTTAGGTTTCCCTAACTACTATTCCTCAGGGACGCTGTGTCTTGGAAGTCTTTTATCTGTAATCCACTGTTACACCTGAGCCCGGCTGGTGTGGTGGTAGGGCATATGTGAGCAGTAATGTTCTATTAACCATCTAATTAAGAGCAAGGATGGAATAACTTCCCTTTGGTAAATGGTAACGTTACAGGAAAGGGGTCCCAATCCAGACCCCAAGAGAGGGTTCTTGGATCTCACGCAAGAAATAATTCGGGGCAAGTCCGTAGAGTAAACTGAAAGCAAGTTTATTAAGAAAGTAGAGGAATTAAAGAATGGCTACTCCATAGATAGAGCAGCCCTGAGGGCTTCTGGTTGCCCATTTTTATGGCTATTTCTTGATTATATGCTAAACAAGGGGTGGATTATTCTTGACTCCCCTTTTTAGGCCATATAGGGTAACTTCCTGATGTTGCCATGGCATTTATAAACTGTCATGGCGCTGGTGGGAGTGTAGCAGTGAGGACAACCAGAGGTCACTCTAATCACCATCTTGGTTCTGGTGGGTTTCAGCTGGCTTCTTTAGTACACCCTGTTTATCAGCAAGGTCTTTATGACCTGTATCTTATGCCGACCTCCAGTCTCATTCTGTGACTTAGAATGCGTAACTCTCTGGGAATGCAGCCCAGTAGGTCTCAGCCTCATTTTACCCAGCCCCTACTCAAGATGGAGTTGCTCTGGTTCAAATTCCTCTGACAGAAAAACTTTCCCCCATAAGAAAAAGGAAGATGGAGAACATGGTGGCTTCAGTGAGGGTGTCTGAAGATGAGGGACTTGCCTTCTGCTGGCTTCCATTTCTTCCATGAATTTTGAAGTGAGCTCATCAGCTAAGACTATGTGTTAAATATGAGCTGGGAAAAGATATGACATAGCCATCTCAGAAAGGGAGAAACAAGCTTGGTAGGAAAACATTTTGGGTTTGGCAGGCAGTGTTGACTATTCATTTAATGTTTGTGGCCATGAATTTAATGCAGCTAGTCAGCCTGGTTGTGTGACTTCCTCTCCATCCCAAAGTGTTCATCTGTTTGGATGGGAGCTTGGGGTTGGTGGATAGTTGGGTTCCATCAGTGTTGGAATTTGGTAAGGATAGTGTGACACAGAAAGGGGGTGTATTAGTGTTCCCTAGAGGGACAGAACTAATAGTGTGTGTGTGTGTGTGTGTGTGTGTGTATATTCTATTTTTATATATACAATAGTATATATATAACAGTGTGTGTGTGTATATATATGTAGGAGTTTATTAAGTATTATCTTACATGATCACAAGGTCCCACAAGAGGCTGTCTACAAGCTTGAGGAAGAAGGAGAGCCAGTCCGAGTCTCAAAACTGAAGAACTTGTAGTCCCAAGTTTGAGGGCAGGAAGCATCCAGCAAGGGAGAAAGATGTAGGCTGGGAGGCTAGGTCAGTCTCACCTTTTCATGTTTCTCTGACTGCTTTATATTTGCTGGCAGCTGATTAGATTGTGCCCACCAGATTAAGGGTGGGTCTGCCTTCCCCAGCCCACGGACTTAAATGTTAATCTCCTTTGGCAACACCCTCACAGACACACCCAGGATCAATACTTTGCATCCTTCAATCTAATCAAGTTGACACTCAGTATTAACCATCACAAGGGGAGATGCAGGAGTAGAGGGTATGTGCAAGGGAGTGATTATGAGTGAGTATAATGATGGAGCCAGTGTGAATAGTGAAGGTGAAGCGAAGGGTAGGAATGGATAGTAAAAGTGCTGTGTGTTCAATGGATTAAATGTCTAAATAAGTTTGAAGATTGTTTGCAGTGAATGCAGAGTAAGTAAGTGAGCTGAACAGAGGAAGGGTGGACAGAGTGGAGGATGCTTGTAGTGGGATTTGAGGTGATGACAAAGTTTAGGATGTGGCCATGTGAGATAGTGACTCAGAAGGAAAAAGCTTCAGGTGAGGAAATAAGGAACTGAGAAACTGGCTTTTCTGGTAGGTCTTTGACTCTGATGTTAAAGTCACTGAAAGTGGTGAAGGTGTTAGGGAAGCAGAAGAAACCCTCTGAGAGGCGGAAGCTGGAGTCTTCAGGGAATGAGAAGGCATAAGCAGGAGGGAGGTGAAAAACAGCAGTGAGGATGAGCAGAAAGTGGCAGAGCCAGATGGCCTGAGTGCCACAGAGCAGGGATTTGTGTTGGAGGGAGGGAGGGAAATCATTTGAAGGAGCGGTGGAGAGCCAGGAGGCTGCCTGCCCTACTCCCTGGTCTTCAGATATATGACGTGAGGACAGAGGGCTGTAGGAGAGGAGAAGGCAAGTTTCCATTAAGGTCACAGAAGGTTAAAGTTCAGAGAGGAGATGGAAGGACATAGTGGGCATACTATTTACAGAAATGTTGAAAGGGTGGGATGAGTCTGTGGGGAGTCGGAGGGGTTGGGGTTTCCAGAGCAGCGTGGAGTTCAGAGCCCTGGTGAGAGAGGATGACTGGGTAGACCTGGCTTTCCAGCAGAGATTGCAGTAACAGGACTCCCAGGGCCAGCATGCCCTGTTACATGGCTATCTTTCCACTTCTCCCTCCTAGCTTAATTTTTAGAAACTTTAACAGATGGAATGCAAAATTTTTATTTTTATTTTTACTTCAGAGATCAGTCCTCACCCTGTCGCCCTGGCTGGAGTGCAGTGGTGTGATCATAGCTCAGTGTAGCCTCCAACTCCTGGGCTCAAGTGATCCTCCCACATCAGCCTCCCGAGTAGCTGAGACTACAGGCAACGCACCACCATGCCTGGCTAATTTTTGTATTTTTTTGTAGAGATTGGGTCTTGCTATGTTGCCCAGGCTGGTCTTGAACTCCCAGGTTTAAGCAATCCTCATGCATGCATATATATATATATATGCAGCTTTGATAATTTAATTAGTTTAGCCTGTCAGGCAGCTGTGATAGTGTAGAGAACGTTGTATTTATTTGTAAGTCTTAAGGTAGGATTGGAATGGAGAAGTCAACTTCACTGAAAACTAGCAAGTAGAATGAAGGAAACACAGATTAGTTGAGGACCTACTATGTTCCAGGCTTTGTGCCAAACATCTACTTTATGTAGGTGATTTCACAAGATGGACATGTTGGAAAAACTGTGGGCATTGGAATCAGTCCTGGGTTTGAATTTTAGTTGCTTGGCTGACAAACTGTGTTACTTTGGGCAAGTTACCTGTGCTCTTCAGTCTTACTTTTCTCATCCATAGCGTGGGAATAATAACATCCACCTGTTGTGGTTGCTGTAATGAGCTGTGCAAGAAATTCTAATCAGCAGGCCGGGCTGAGAACCACTGCTGCAGAGTGATTAGCATTTGTTCCATTTTATAGGTGAAGAAACTAAGGCCCAGTGGGGCTAAATATGTTGCTTACGGCCACACAGCACTTAAATGATATAGCCAGGATTGAAAGCCAGTTTTTTTTGACCCCAGAACCTTGTTGTATCCATTTCATTGAGTTTTTGCCTTAATACATGGGAAGCTAAAGGAGCCCCCCCATTAGCATGTCTGCCCAAACATCAGGCAGCATGGGATGGGAGGAAGGGATCAAGTGAAGGGAAGGCAGGCTCCATGGAATCTAGGTCAGCGGTTTCCAAACCTGGCTGTACTTACAAATCATCTGGAAAATGGTTAATCTGTAAATCTCCAGGGACCACCCTAGGCCTATTGGATCAGAACTTCTGGAGCATGGGAACCGGGAGTATGTATATTTAGAATATCTCCCAGGTTATTCTGAGACTGCTAGCCTAGTTCCGGTCCTTGGGCAAGTTTTTGGGAACCACTGAATTCTAATCGATGTCCTAAAATGATTAAGTGATTATATCCCAGTAAAATACTGGGTGTCTTCCAGTGCCACCAAAATTGGCCTTTAGGGGTTGAGTGCTATTGCCGTACTTTAAGATCTTGGTGCATTACCTGAAACGGACACTCTGTCTGTCATTGAACATTTGAACTTCGAATATATAGGAAATGTCAAGTTGGCATACTCTGCTATAACAGGAAGAGTGATTTGTTATTTAGAGCTGTTGTTCTTCCTTCTTTCCCCTTGGGATTCCTGCCCACTCAGTCAGATTAGAGCTATATAAACAAGCTCGTACTACTGAGCTAGCACACATCTTGTAAATTTTTTTTCCTGAAGTGCTTAACGTTGCTGATGTCAGAAAAAAAAAATCCATTGGGTTTTAATGGGCTGAGGCAAACAATGAGAATTTGATATAATATGGAGGAGAGGAAATAACTTCAACAGAAATTCTTATTTGGCAGCATAAATATTCAAACTATATTACAGTCAGAGTTTGATTGCTTCTCCTACATGGCATTTCCCTGAATAGGGTTTTGAGGGCTGGGCACTAAGAGTGGCAGGCATGATGTTTAAAGCATTTAGTTGCAAGCCATGGTAATTTCAGTGACATTGTAGGGTAATTGTAGTTGGTTCTCCTCTTAGCTCTGTGTCAGGATCACCTGAGGAGGTTGTTGGACCGCTGAAGGCTTCATCTCTGATGCACGAGTCAGAACATCTGAGGGTGGGGGTTGGGGTGGGATTCTCCATTGAATCTGATGCCAGTGGCCTGGGAATTTCACTTGGCCAAACCCTGGCTTAGAACAAGGTCACTGGTCAGTTTCGATATTCATTCTGTGCTGGGGCATTTCCATGACTTAGTGTCTTCCCTCTTCAAAAGCAACCCTGCGTGATGGAGGGGTCTCATCTTCCAGGCAAGGAGCTGGAAACGTAGGGTGGGAGAGCCCATTGTCAAAGGCCACATAGTAGCCTTAATGAGGCTAGAGCTGAGATGTGATTCCCAGTCTGACTTCAAAGCCCTTCCTTTTCCTATACCATCGAGGCCCTTCCTTCCTGCTCTGCTCAACATTGTTAGCTGCCGAACCCTAGGCTTTGCTTGTTCCAGAGGGGCTGGCATTATAAAGTAAACAGCAGGCATTTATTGTAACTGCAAGTTACAGATGCAGTGTCAGTTTGGAGTAGACTTGCAGGCACAATCCTGACTTTCAATGATTCACGAATCTGTTTGTGTCACAGGTGCTCAATTGTCCTATTATGCATAGAGCATCCCCTTCACTATATTTTCTTCCCTCACCACATATTCCTTCTTACCTAAATTGCTTATGAATTCCAGAAGTGGATTGCTGAGTCCAGGCTGGTTCATATCAATAAACCTTGGGGAAAATCTTTATGTGTGATGCTATACATGGGTCTTTGTTGATCAAGAGTCTTCTTTATTGGCCACTTTTAATGGCTTGTTATCCAGATGAATCTTCTGGAAGGAGGACACTGCATCCTGGTGGAATTTTATCAGTTCCATCATTCATTCAAACATATTTAAGTACCTTCTATGTGCCAGGTTCTGCTCTAGGTGCCAGGGAGAGAGGGGTGAACCCCAACGATAAAGTCCCTGCCTATGAAGAACTGACTTTCTAGAGAGGAAGTCCCTGATAGACAAGTAAACAAAGTCCCGCAGATTCAGATAGTTGCGAATCCCTGTTATCTCACTCTCCACACTTGGCTGTCTCCCACTTAATCTTTCTGGGATCAGATTATCTTTGTGGCTTTTTTCTCTTGACTGTCTAGCACAAAGCTGAGCCGCTTCTGGGGCTTCAGATTTCTATGCCTGTGTGTGTGCATAGCCTTGGCTGGAATGGCAAACTTTGCCTCTCCCAGGCTTCTGCTCATCTGTCACCTCCTCCTACTCTGTGCCATCATAATTGAGCAACCACATATTACAGTGTCCTTTCTGTGAACACATCTGTTATTCCTACCGGTCTCTGAACATTTTAAGGAGAGGATCTGTGTCTGACTTATCTGTATATCCCCAGGGCCTAGCATGGAACCTTACAAAAGTAGATGCTCAGTATATTTGCTCAAAGAATAAATGATGAGTTCCAAAGAACCTGAGGGTGGGTGGTGTGGTATAGGAATTCCGTCATGGGGAGGGATGCTGAGTCAGATGGGGGATGCTCCACCGCAGTGGTTTTGTGATTTATTCTTTGAGACATTGAGTGCTGTCATGAATAGAGGAGATGGGCTGGGATATAGGCAGTATTGACAGAGACACGTGGCATGGAACATTCTGGTGAGAACCTTTGAAGGAAAGTTAGAAATGTGAGGTTCTGAGGGTCTAGCTCAGAGCTGGAAGGAACTCTAAGGTTGCTGGATTTTATAGCCAATGCCCAACTGAGGTCCAGGGAAGCTGTGTGTCCTGGTTCTGATAGTTGGTTAGTTGCAAAGGAGCTAGGGGTGGGGTGATACCAGGACTCCTAGTTCAGAGGGCTTTCCACTATGCTGGGGCTATGGTGTGTGACAGATAACAGATTAAAGGCACAGAGAGGAGAAGGAACTTGCCTAAGATCACACAGCTAGGAAGTGGTGGAGCCTGGATTTGGACATGGATCTGTCTAATGAGAGGCATCTTGTAACCATCAAGCTGTATTGTCTCTTCTTGAAGACTGTGAAATGCAAGGTCCTAGCCCATTTTCAGTTTTCCTCTTGGGTTAGCTGTGAGTCCATATAGGAAAATAATATTAACATGCTTTCTTTCTTTTGGTATGCAGTTACATGTTTTCAGAAAAATGTTCACATTCTTCAAATGTTAATATTGAAGCCCCTGGGTTGTTTACTGTGTGTATATATATGTATATATAAGTACAATGAAGAACATTCTGTTTTTCTCTACCACTAAATTTAAACCCATTTCTATTGTACTCCATTTAAAAGAAGTATTTTACATCATACTATAATGAATGAAAACCTAGTCCTTTAATTTCACAAGCCCCAGCTTTAATAGTCAATGAATTTAATTAGAAAATCTTTACCTATGTAGGTTTCACATCCAGTTCTCTATAACATCTGTTGACCTATGGACTAGAAAGTATATTATTATTTTAGAAATGATTCTTTCTAGACACAGGAAAGCTAAATAGCTTGTCTGAGTTTCAAAACGAGTTAATAGAGGAACCAAAAATAGAAACATTTCTACTGAATACGAGGCTTACTAAAATTCTTCACACAGAGACTATCTGCATTCACTTAGTAGTTTCCAGTCTAGACTCTGGAACATCAGCCTGTTTTAACACACACAAATGCTTCTGTTGGTGGGAGGGGGTGGCTGGGCAGAGGGAGGCCGGGCAGAGGGAGGCCTGACACGTTTGTTTCTAGGTCATTTCTAACCTTGCTATTATAATACAGTTTTCTAGATAGAAGAGAATGTGCTCATTAAAGTGTTCATTTTAAAATAAAGCGACAGAAACTTAAAACGTCTCTATTACATGGATACATGAGTATATATAAATGAACTCAATTTTTGTTTTCATGCTCTGTTGTATTCTGTATTAAGGCAAAGGAGTAGGCAACTAAGTAGTTGTTTAAAAATAAAACTGTGTGTTGTTCATTTAATTTTAAAAGCCATTGGTTAGAATGGTAATCAGTGTTTCCATGTAGTACTATATTCATAGAAATCCTGATATTACAGTGTATAGAGATAATATTATAGAATGATGCTCTTTACCTCTTTATGTAATCTAATTTTAAAAAACATTGTAATTTATAAATAGTGAAGAAAGCAGGTAGTGTTATTCGAATGGGATATTTTCGGCAATTAAATTCTTAGCATAAATTACAAATTCCTCTCTCTCCCATTTTCCACCCAAATTTGTTTTTATGGAATGACCTTTGGTAGCAACTTGTTTTATAATAAAATGTTTCCTGAATTTGTATTTTGAATTGAAATGGCCTTTTCTGTCACGTATGGTATTTATAAGAGTTTCTTTGATGAAAAGCCTCTGAATTTTGTGCAAATAACCCAGGCAGCCTCTTAGATGAGGGATAACATTTGTATAGGACTTTTATGGCTTTATACTCTGCTCTCATACTCAGCTTATTTGACCCTTACCTGCGGGGAACTTGGTGGAATTCACATTTTACTGCTGAGGACAATGTAGAGGAAGGTGCCTTGGCATGACTCAGAGCATATAGCAGGTGTTTGGTATGTTTGTTTTAAAGGGAAATTAACAAAAGAAACCCAAAAGATTCTTGTACTTGCTCAAGGTCACACAATAAATATAGTGTCATACCAAGGATTGAACTTCCTTCTTCACTCAAAACTTCCATATACTTGTTCTTATCTCACTGTTATCTTTTCAGGCTTTTCAAAAAGGCCACATTAAATATATTTATTTTTCTTAATTGAGGTGAAATTCACATAACACAAAATTAGCCATCTTAAAGTGTATAATTCAGTGGCATTTCATGCTTTCACAGTGTTCTACAGCCATCACCTCTATCAAGGCCCCTGAAGGAGACCCTGTATCCATTAAGCAGTCACCCATTCCATCCTCCCTGCAGCTACTGGCAGCTACCAATCTGTTTCTTGTCTCTGTGGACTTACCTATTCTGGATATTTCATAAAAATAGACTCCAGCAATATGTGACGTTTTGTGTCTGGCTTTTTACACTTAGCGTGTTTTCACTTAGCATGTTTTCAAGGTTCATCCACGTTGTAGTGTGTGTCAGTACTTTATTTCTTTTTATTGCTCAATGATATCCCATTGTATGGATATACACGTTTTATTTATCCATTCATGCACTGATAGACATTTGGGTTGTTTCCCCCTTTTAACTATTGTGAATAGTGCTGCTATGAACATTTGTGTACAAGTATTTGATATTTGTTTTCAGTTAGTTTGTGTATGTACTTAGAAGTGGAATTGCTAGATCATATGGTAATTCTGTGTTCAACTTTTTTGAGGAAACACTAAGCTGTTTTCAGCAGTGACTGTGTCATTTTACATTCCTACCAGCAATGTTTGAGGATTTTGATTTCCCTGTATCCTTGCCAAGACTTACTTGAGGTTTTTTTTTTTTAAATTATAATAATCTTAATGGGTATGAAGTGGTATCTCCTTGTGGTCTGGATTTTGATTTCCCTAATAAAATATTCATATTTTAATGCATAGAATTAATCAGAAAATGAGCTTTGGCAAGGTGAACTCAACAGCAAAATGATTGGCTTCAACTGTCTTCAGGAGATTATTTAAGACTGCCGTGGCTGGGTGCGGTGGCGCACGCCTGTAATGCCAGCAGTTTGGGAGGCTGAGGCTGGTGCATCACCTAACGTCAGAAGTTTGTGACCAGCCTGACCAACATGGAGAAACCCTGTCTCTACTAAAAATACAAAAATAGCTGGGTGTGGTGGCACATGCCTGTAATGCCAGCTACTCGGGAGGCTGAGGCAGGAGAATCACTTAAACCCGGGAGGCGGAGGTTTCAGAGAGCTGAGATCGCGTCATTGCACTCTAGCCTGGGCAATAAGAGCGAAACTCTGTCTCAAAAAAAAACAAAACAAAACACTGCTGTATATTCACTCCTGGGGTGTGCGATTCTGAGCTGAAAATCAATAACATGTTGTTTGGGGATTAGAAGAATATTTGTGGATAGTAAGACTGCAATCATCCCCTAACTTTAAAAAATGTATCATGTAATATCATGTTTTTGTTCATGGCATCTGCCAAAAGTTACTTAATTCTTTGCATTTCAAAGCCCTCTTTATATAATTCCTTCGTGACTTAATGGTTTATTCATTTATTTTTGCAGTGTGAGTGAAGACACTCAGGATGGCTCAAGGATCCGGGGATCAAAGAGCAGTGGGGGTTGCTGACCCAGAGGAGAGTTCTCCAAACATGATCGTTTACTGCAAAGTAAGGCGCCTGGTCAAGTGCCGTGCGTGCTGTCCGTGTGGACTGTTGTGTTCTGTGTAGGGCTGATAAAAAGACAAATGTTTTCTGCCTAAACTGCCTTACTGATAAATGCATATTTTCTTCTCACATCCTCTGGTTCTCTAGTTCTAAAATTCAAGGAAGTTCATACTTGAGCACTTGGTATTTAACACTTGAAAAATATTATGCCATTTAGTTTTCTTTAAACCCAAAGGTTGCCTAAGCAATGCAGATGGGAAGACACATTCTCCTTCAGTGGAAAGGCCTTAGTGTAAGATGTATGAACTGAAAGTTCTTCAGACTCGTAGTATGTACAAAATCTGGGCTGAATGCTGTGGGAGATAGAGAGGTATATTTGTATGAGATGCTTACAGTTGGTAGGAGACATAAGATGTACACAAATAACTGTTATAGAGTCTAAATGTTAATTTCCAAAATAGATGTGCAAGTAGAGTGTTACATAATTTCAGAGGAGGAGGCCAGTTCTCCCAGCCTCAGAGGTGAGAATGGGCTTGTGGAAGAGTGGTCTTTGAACTCAGTTTTAAAATATGTGCAGGATTGCTTTATGTGGAAAGCAGAGAGGAAGAACATACCAGGTGATGAGATGTTTCAGCAAGGGCACAGAGCTGAGGAAAGTAACAGCAACCGGAACTGGTTAGCTTGGACATAGGATGCATTACAAGGAGTAAATGGAGATAGGATTTTGGGAAGAGAGGCTGGCTGGAGCCAGATGTTAGTGTTGAATTAGACAATTTAATCAAGAAAAACTTCTGTGCCAAGAGTTGCAAGATTGAGATCTCTTTGGGATTATGACTGTTGCCCCATTGTGCTGAATGGATTGTTATCAAGATAGAGCGGAGGCTCTAGGAGAGAGATTTCTGTGTCTGTGTGAAAGGTAAGGAGGGAAAGGAGAGACACTAATCCAGCCTGTGAAATCACCTTCAGAATTAAGAGAAACTGATAAGAGGAATTAAAGTCTGGATTAAAAATGACTTGGAAACTGAAGGAATATAGGCGGCAAGTAGAGGGTCAAAGATGACGGGGTTTTTGACGTTGGGTAAATGAAAATCATTGGTGCTATTAATTCAAATTGGGATATTTGGAAAAAGAATACATTTTAAAGGAAGAAAATGGCACATAAGTTTATTTTAGTACATGCTGAATTTGACATAATTGCTTCTTATTGTACACCTTTTTGATGTTTGCATGTTTGTGAAAATTTAAACTAACTCTCTTGTATGTTAATAAGGAAATAAGTTAATGTTCATTTCACTAACTACTTGAGTTTCTACTCAGTTCTGTGCATTCTGAGAGGCTCTGTGTATTACTTATATGGGCAATGTGGAACTAGATATTCCTGGATGATCAATATGGTGAATTTTTCTCTTTTCCTTGTAAAAATAGAGTTCTCAAATTATTCTGGCTTTGAGTGTAAGATTCTGTAATTCTTTGCTTTGCAAGAGAATGTCTAGATAACCCATCTCTAAGAATCATGCTTATTAAATTGCGATAAAGAAAAAAATAGGTTAATGGGACTCAGCAATTAGTGAAACATACAGAATAATAGACATTGAGTCATTGTTACTTTCTTAACCCACCCCCAAACTGGGAGACCCCGTGCCAGGCTGGTAGGAACATGGGCTTTGGAGTGAGACTTAGGTTAAAATGCCAACTTTACCACTCTTTAGCAGTATGACTGTAAGTTAGTTCTTTAACTTCCATGAGCCACAATTTTTTCATCTGTAAAAAGAAAAAAAAATGTGGGAGGAAGGTAATTGTGAAGATCACTTTAGATAAATCGAATGAGGCATCTTATATCCTACTTAGACCACAATGTGGTCCGTAATGAATATCTCTTTTTCTTTTCATGTTTAGGTCTTGTAGAGTCAGTGACACTTGGAGAGGAAATAAATGATAAAATCTCTAAATGTTGGTGCTGTTAATAAGTTGTCTAGAGCAAATTTATACAGTGAGTTTTTTTTTAAGACACAGGAAAACAATAAAAATATTTTTATATTCTTCAGAGGATTGCAAATTCATGGATTATTAAAGAATAAGAAATGCAAAGGTCATGTAACCCAACCACCTTTCTACTAGAATGTTTGTATTATGTTTACAGGAAAAAAAAACTTCCTGCAGGTTTATGAGAACTTGGTTTTTACTTTTTGGTGGTAGTAAGGGGCCCTTTTCTGGTTTAATTTAGTAACTAACATGTCAATTGCTGTAGTTCTTTAGAGAAATGACAACTAGTAATGAAACTATATCTTACTTTCGTGTGACAAACTTGTGTAAAGAGTATATATATATATATATATATGTTCATGTTTATTTGCTATATTAATTACCATAAAAGGGACATTGAATTGGTTCAGTCTGTTAGAAAGAAGACACACTTATTGCACAGTGTGAGCTCAGGTCCTGACACCATTTTAAACCTAGTTAACCTGACTGACTTAAACCATGGTTGTACTTGAACTATGGGATTTTCATATAGTTTTCTACTCCTGATGCTGTAGGCTGCCTTTTGGCTACAACCAAGAACTTACTTGCTGTAGGACATTATCCTCAAGGTATCATCAGTAAGGGTTGGATTGTGAAGCCAATGACAATTCAAAGCATTTTCTTTGGAAGTCCTTTTGTGTAATCAATTATTCAAAGTCATAGCCATAAACCCAAACCTTTCCTTAGATACCCACGACTACAATTTACATTTAAAAAATTGTGCTTTCATTTTTGTTTTCTTTCTCTTGTTTGTTGTTGTTGTTTTTTTTCTCTTGTTGTCAGACACTTTCAGTGTGAAATTTTTGCTTGGACTGCATTGTGTTGATTCAGATGCTGACATTTAAAAAGCCAAATCTAGAGAAATGAAGCTTTTGGGTAAACTTTCGAGTAATAAGTGGATGATTATGTCCATAATGTTGTTGTGACTTTTAAATGACATTTAGGATGGTAACCTCCTGACATATGAGTAATGATGGGTGGGTTTTTAAAGCCCACACTTTTCAGAACACTCTTCATTTCCTTTTCATGTTTTCATGTCATTAACTGTGAGAAGTTGTACTTTCCCAAGGCATGACTTATTTATTGACTTGAACAGACTTTCTAATTTAGTTTTTCATCCCTCATATTCACAGTTTGGATTGGAGGTGTGTATGAAAAATGTATTGGTCACATTAAAGATCTATTTAAAAGAAAACCTTAATTATTCATGAAGACACCCAGACCTGTTAACCTTTTTTATATTCCTGTATCCTTAGGATCCTGAGTTACTGAATTGCCCAGTGTAATGATGATATTTGAACCTAGCTATACATCACATCATTTAGGGTGCTTTATAAAAATGTTAATCCTCAAAGGACCCCCTCCACAAGGTATTTCTATTTAATAGGTCTGAGCTGGGTCCTAGGAATCTGAGTTTCAAGATGTTCTCAGGAAAATCTGATGCCCAACTAAGTTTGAAAAGCACTTACTTAGTCTTTTACAATATCCAGACATAGTATGTGTTGCAAAGTAATGAGAGAGTTGGTGTTTTGAATTAGATTTTTGATTTCATAATTATTTGTAGATCTCTCAAAACGTAGAAGAACCAAGCTCTTGTCATAGGGATTTTAGTAGCTTTTCCTTAGATATTTTCTAGTCTTATTTTATAGATGAAAGAACTAAAAGTATAGAGAGGGTGAGTAACTTGATTAAGGCTCCTCAGCACTTTCCCATGGAAGCCATAATGGTGTCCAGGGAGCCTGGCCACTCCAATCAGTTGCCTTTCTAGCACCCTATGCGACTACCATGTTATCAACCACAGACTACTGTTACCACATTGTTGGAGCTGAGTAGCCATGGGGCACATTAAATTAATGAAAATAATATGTGGCAGATCTTTGACTTTCATGTTTCTTCTGGGAGAGTTGACTTGGATTAATGTCTCACTTTTTTATTGATTTTTAAAAAATACTTTAAGTTCTAGGGTACATGTGCACAACGTGCAGGTTTGTTACATATGTATACATGTGCCATGTTGGTGTGCTGCACCCATTAACTCTCATTTACATTAGGCATGTCTCCTAATGCTTTCCCTCCCCACTCCTGCCACCCCACGACAGGCCCCAGTGTGTGATGTTCCCCTTCCTGTGTCCAAGTGTTCTCATTGTTCAATTCCCACCTGTGAGTGAGAAGATGCAGTGTTTGGTTTTTTGTTCTTGCAATAGTTTGCTGAGAATGATGGTTTCCAGCTTCATCCATGTCCCTACAAAGGACACGAACTCATCCTTTTTTATGGCTGCATAGTATTCCATGGTGTATATGTGCCACATTTTCTTAATCCAGTATATCATTGATGGAATGTCTCACATTTTTAATGCTAAAGTTTCATTCTACTCATTGGTGCTTTTGCTTCTTCGGTAAAGATTTTCTAAAATGTTTACATAGGTAAGATTGCTTTTGAGTAAGAGTAGGTTGCTTTCTGATTTTGTTTGGATCTTTGGTGTTAACAATGCCTCTTGACAAAGTTCTCCTAACTAGACTGGTAATTTGATTTGTTTGGGTCAGGAGGCATGGAAGACATCACACTCTGGATGTCTTCTACATCCAGAAGGATGGAGGCATGGCAGATGTCACACTCTGGATGTCTTCTACATCCAAAAGCTGGAGGCTCTGCCTGTCTGGTCCCAGCTTTGTGTGGAGAACTTCACTTTCCTGATTCTACTTCTTGTTTTGTTTTCTACCTTCTTCATTCTTTTCCTCCTTCCTTTTCAATTGTGAGATACTTCTAACACAAAAAGAATATATTCAGTGTCCATGTAAAGTAGAAAGAATTAAAAAATGAATTATATGCACTCACCATTAGCTTAATAAATAAAATGTAATACTTTGGCCTCATTTCCCCTTCTGTAAAGGGAGGAAATTGGTCTAAAAATGTACAAATACCTTTCTGCAATGATTTCAAAGTTCCATTCTATAACTTTTTGATCTTTCGTAAATTAGTACACTTCCCTGATATCAAAACAATGTTGTGAGACTATATGCACGTTTAAAGGTCTTTTGAGCTTTTGAAGAAATATTTTAGATAGTTGTAGGTAATCTAAATTGGATTGAGATAAAGCCCAGTTAAGTCAGGCATTAGAATAAAAAGCTTTAATTGTAATTATTTAATATTCAACAGTGGAATTTAGATGACATCTTGGTGGCAACCTGTTTCTTTGGCTTGCTAATAACATTTAAGACATTTATAAAATTATCATTTTGTAGTATTAATTATATGCTATATACATAACAAGTGGTGTTTAAGTAGCAACACTGTACATTGCCAGTAGTATATAGTGTCATAGATGAAATAGGGGTTTTAGAGGAAGACAAAAAAGGCCAATGTTCTTGTATATCAACAGGTTAGTTGCCTAGCCTCGTCACTGATGGCTTCCTTCACCTATTCATTTCTAGTTATTGACTCCTTTTCTGCTGGAATTTGAGTCTAGCCTTTATGTTGCTCTGATACCCCAAGGTCACTCTTCCTAATGATTTAGGGCCCTTGAAGTCCTGGGCAGTTGTTGGTTTAGGCATACATCCAGAAAGTAAATGTCACACTATTTTAGTTACATTGGCTGTGGTATGCAGCAAGAAGGGAAGGATCTAGCCTGGAAGAATCCGATGCTATGGAGGAAGCTAGGGATAGAGTGTGGTTTGGAATTCATAGAGGGCAGTGGTAGAAGCCAGCACAATTGAGAGTCTGGGGACCTGCAGGTCCTGGTGACTAAGGCATGATGAGGATTAGAAACTGTCGAATCAGGAAATACGTATTGAGTGTCATTTGTGTGCCAGACACTATTAGATGCTAGGAATGCAAGATGAGAACTGAGCCCTGAATGAGCCCACAGGCCAGCTGGGGGTAAATGGGGAACTAGACAATTACAGTGTTGGTAGAAGCAACTGAGGGGCATGGGAGGAGGTAGAGGGGTCATGTAGTCCATCCCAGGAGAGGGGATGATGATGTAGAAGACATCCAGAGGATTTGGCACCTGCTTCGATTCTTGAAAGATGACTAGGAATTAACCAGATGGAGGAGGAGAGAGAAGGTGTAGGAGGCAGGACTAGCACCTGTAAAAGAGCAGATTTGTGATGTCGTATACCGAGTTCAGGAGACTTTAAGTGGTTGATATGAAGCTAGGTTTCTGTGATGAAAGGTTGAGGAATAGAGCTAGACAGATGGATTAGGGCCAGATCACAAAAGACCTTATGTACCATGCCAAGGAGTTTAGACATTGTAAAAGTATCTTCCCTTTGGGCCTCCACACCCAAGTTCAACTCCTTTGCATGCTGCTGTCTGCCCCAGAGGCTGAGCTGTGAGGACTACATTTACAGGGCTCCTGTGACCTCTGGGTTTCAGTTGGGTTTGGTTAGTAAAAGTCTGGAAAGAGATGGGAGGGAAGGAGAATCGCAATGTCAGAGAATTTCTTCTCCTGGGTCTCACTCTGCAAAACCTTGCACTGGCCATATCCGTCTACTGAAGTTTGTTGATTCTCTCAAGGCAGACTACTTTCCTCTTCTGGGTCCGGACATCCTTTTTGTCTACTCATCCTTTTGGGCCTTTGCCGACTACTTTCCTCTTCTGGGTCCGGACATCCTTTTCATCTACTCATCCTTTTGGGCCTTGGGGTGGTTCCAGTTTGTATTTGTTATCTCTTGCTGTGTAACGAGTTATCTCAAAACTCAATGGCTTGAAAACATTTATTATGTCACAATTTCTATGGGTTAGTAATCCAAGTGCAGATTCCGTGAGTTCTCCAGCACAGTGTCTTTTTAAAAGGCTGTGATCAAGATGTTGACTCGGATTATGGTTTCGTCTGAAGTCTCAGCTGGGGAAAAGTCTACTCCCAAACTTACTTGTGTGACTGTTGGCTGGATTCAGCTCCTTAGGGGCCGTTGGAATGGTGGACTCGGTTCTTCGTTGGCTGTTTGCCAGAGGCCATTCTTAGTTATTTATGACACGTGTCTCTCCATATCGCAGCTCATAATATGGCAGGTTTTTTTTTTTTTTTTTTTTTTTTTTTTATCAGAGTGACAACAGGCAGAGAAGGAAGATGGGTGGTAGTAGTCTTAGTGTTTTATAACCTAATTTTGGACATTTTTTTCTTTATTATACTTTAAGTTCTAGGGTACATGTGCACAACGTGCAGGTTTGTTACATAGGTATACATGTGCCATGTTGTTTTGCTGTACCCATCAACTTGTCATTTACATTAGGTATTTCTCCTAATGCTATCCCTCCCCCAGCCCAATTTTGGACATATTATCCCATCCCTTTTGATAGTAAGAAGTCACTAGGTCCACCCCTCACTCAAGGTGAGGGATTTACACAAAGATGTGAATACCAAGATCCAGAATTCAGAAAATCTTTGTGGGCCATTTTGGAAGCCATCTACCACACAGCTCTACTTCTACTAGCCAGGGGTTTCTGAGTGTTTTTTTTTTATAATTTCCCTGTACCCTAGAACTCCTTTAAACTTGGTCCTTTTGGAAATACATTTTCCTTAAATTGTCCTATGTATATCATCTGTTTACCAATAAGACCCTAACGAATGCAAGTATTATCCCACAAGCAAAGGGAAGCGATTGAGACTCTGCGTTTCTTGATAAGGGAATTCTTCATGAAAGGGTTTGAAGCAGGGGAGTCATTTGTCCAAAGTGGAGGATGGGATCTGAAATGGGGAAGTCAATGTGGAGAAGATTCAGTGTGGAGGTCAATGGGTGATCGATGTGGAAGGGTTCGGTGTGGAGGGAGAGTGTTGGAGAAGTGGTAGGATTGGAGGTAGGAGGACAGTTTAGAGATTGAACAGGAATCCAGGTGAGGAAAAATGATGCCCAAATCAGTGGCAGTGGTAATACAGATGGGAGGATGTGTTTGAGAGATGTTTAGGAGGTTCAGGCAACAGAATTTGGGGGCTGAGAAGACGTAGGGAGAATTTGAGAATAATGAGGAGGAATGAGGAGTCTTTTCCCTAGGCTATATCTGTGATTCTCAGAAAGTCTCCTGGGATAAACTTTTGAAGCAAATAGCTGTAGAACTGGATTGCCTGCCCCTCTCTTCCCTGTATGTAGATAAATTGAGAGAGCCCAAGACAGAGTCTGTAAATGGACCAGGATATCTGGGTATTTGTTCTGGCTGCCCCACTCCACTAGCTCATTTATGGCCATGCGTAAGTTGTTCCTACTTTTTGTTAAGTCTAGTTCTTTAATTTGTGAAGTAAGGGGTTAGCTATGCTGGGTGATCTCTAAAGCATTTTTTTAGATCTAACATTCTAGGTCTTTTGTAATCTAAAATAGAGAAACCCACATTTTATTATTTTACTACTTCATAGCCTCCTTTACTTTATTTTTAATTTTCTTTAAAAAGTGAACCGAGCCAAAACTTTAAAAACAGGTAAGTCAGAATGTTTAAAACAAATGGCTTTTGGTCTTCAGCACTTAGGGCTTGTTTTTTTTCACTCTTTTTTTTTTTTTAACATTAAATAAAATTCCTGGCCACATGCAGTGGCTCATGCCTGTAATCCCAGCACTTTGGAAGGCCAAGGCAGGCAGATCACCTGAGATCAGGAGTCTGAGATCAGCTTGGCCAACATGGCAAAACCCTGTCTCTACTAAAAATACAAAAATTGGCCAGGCATGGTGGCACACGCCTGTAATCCCAGCTACTTGGGAGGCTGAGGCAGGAGAATCACTTGAGCCTGGGAGGCAGAAGCTACAGTGAGCAGAGATGGTGCCACCGCACTCCAGCCTGGGTGACAGAGTGAGACTCTGTCTCAAGGACTAACTTCAGAAAGTGTTCAGGGTAACTAATTTAATTGTTCAGTCTACATTTTAAGATTCCTTTCATTAAATTTTTTGAAGCTTTTTTTATTGCCTTAGGAAAAAACTGTTCTGTTTTCCTTTTCCCCCAGGATTAGACTTGCTGGAAGAAAAGCTCCCCCATCACATTATCTTGGTTGGCAGGAGACAGGCATGCAGGCAAGTCCCAGACCAGTGGTATCAGTGTCCACAGATGAAAGGGATGGTATTTTTAGTGTGGGGAATAGCTCAGTGTGGTTTCATATGATGCATTTTGATGAGTATAACTTTCTAATTTGAAAAGCCTTTGGTGTGTTTACGTCTTCATTTAATCTTTCCAATTTCTCCCCCTCATTTCATTTCAAGGAGTCTAAGATTTTTCATTTTGGCAGGCAGTTGATCACTCTTGTTATTGACACTCCTTTGCAGTATTCTTACACTGTGGAGAACCTGAATGGCTGTAAATTCCCTATTGGCAGGATTTTGGAGAAAAAAAAATAAAAGCGAATAGATACCTGTGAAAGAAAAAATAAATACATTTTAAAATAATTGGAGGATAGAAGGATTACTTTTAAAAGTTCTGTTAGTTTGCCAGTACAGAGCAAAACAGAAAATGGACACATTTTTTTGATCAGCATTCTCTGTTCTAAAAACTTATTTCAATAAGGGAAAGAATATGCAAAGACATATATATAGATATAGACATACACCCACTCCAAAAGAATAGTGATATCTTTCTGGTAAATAATATCCAAAGTTTGGAAAGAAATCAAATATCCATTGAAAGGAAACTAATTTTAGGGGGATAGGATTCACATTTGGAATGATCTCATAGTTAGTTTACTGGATTTCTGTTCTGGTCAACCTAATAATTGTCTTGAAAGTGAGATGGCTACTGACATTCTAGGGTATGGTTAGGGAGAATATTCTTTATTTTTAAAACCCTACAAGATTTTTTCATTTTTTAAAATAAAATGTCTTATTTGTTAAATATGATGGTTATGTAGGTTTACTCAAAAGTGATTTTTTCCATTGCTCTTTATTATTTTCTGCATCTCTGTGCTTACAGCTGAAATAATTTTTAGTATTTTCTTTAGTGCAGGTCTGCTGAAGATAAATTCTCTCAGTTCTTGTTTGTCTAAAATATCTTTGGGCCAGGCACGTTGGCTTACGCCTGTAATCCCAGCACTTGGGAGGCCGAGGCAGGAAGATCACTTGGCCCAAGAGTTTGAGGCCAGTCTGGGTAACATAGGGAGACAACATCTCTACAAAAAGAAAGAAATAAAATAAAAAAAAATTAGCTGTGCATGTTAGTACATGCCTGTAGTCCCAGCTACTCAGGAGGTGGAGGTGGGGGAATCACTTGAGCCTGGGAGGTCAAGGCTGCAGTGGGCCATGATTGTGCCACCACACTCTAGCCTGGGCAACAGAGTGAGGCATGGTTTCAAAGACAAAAAGAAAGTCTTTGTTTCATCTTCATTTTGTGAAGGGTGTTTTTTCTAGATTTAGAATTCTAGATTGTCGGTTATTTTATTTATCATAACTGTCATTGTCTCTTGGCTTTCATTGTTTCTGTTGGGCAGTTGGCTGTAAGTTTGATTATTCCTCCTTCGAATGTAATCTGTTTTTTCCTTTGGCTGCTTTTAAGATTTATTTCACTTTGGTTTTAGCAGTTTTATTATAAGGTGTGATTTTCTTTTTAATTTATTCTCCTTAGAGCTTATGAGACTTCTTTTTATTTGGTTGGTGCTTGGGGATTCTTTTTTTTTTTGATGGAGGCTTGCTCTGTCACCCAGGCTGGAGTGCAGTGGTGCAACCTTGGCTCACTGCAGCTGCCACCTCCTGGAATCAAGTGATTCTCCTGCCCCAACCTCCCGAGTAGCTGGGACTAGAGGTGCGTGCCACCACGCCCAAATAATTTTTGTATTTTTAGTACAGTCGGGGTTTCACCATGTTGACCAGGATGGTCTCGATCTCTTGACCTCGTGATCCTCCCACCTCAGCCTCCCAAAGTGCTGGGATTATAGGCATGAGCCACCATGCCCGACTGTGCTTGGGAATTCTTAACCATTAACTTTTCAAATATTGTTTATGCCTAGTTTTCTCATTTCTCTCTTCTTGGGATTGTGTTCATATGTTAGGACCTTTTTCCTCTAGATTTCATGTGTTTCTTATGCTCTTTTCTGTATTTTTTATTCCTTTGTCATTTTGTGCTTCAACATGGATATTTTCTACCGACTTATCCTCCAGTTCACTAATTCTCTCTTCAATATATTAGATAATCTGTGGTTAAAGTCATCCCATTGAATTTGTAACCTTAGTTATTGATTTTTTAAGTTCTAAAATTTTCATTTAATTTTCTTTTTATAGTTTCTAGTTTTCTGCTAAACTTCTCTATTTTGTCATTTAATTCCTAAACTTATTAATCATAATTGTTTCAAAGTCCATATCTGATACTTTAAAGTCTTTATCACTTGCTGGACTGTTTCTACTAACCTTTTCTTTCTTTTTTTTCTTTTTTTTTTGTTCTTCTGTTTATTTATTTTATTTTTTATTTTTTTTAATTATTATACTTTAAGTTTTAGGGTACATGTGCACATTGTGCAGGTTAGTTACATATGTATACATGTGCCATGCTGGTGCGCTGCACCCACTAACTCGTCATCTAGCATTAGGTATATCTCCCAATGCTATCCCTCCCCCCTCCCCCCACCCCACAACAGTCCCCAGAGTGTGATGTTCCCCTTCCTGTGTCCATGTGATCTCATTGTTCAGTTCCCACCTATGAGTGAGAATATGCGGTGTTTGGTTTTTTGTTCTTGCGATAGTTTACTGAGAATGATGATTTCCAGTTTCATCCATGTCCCTACAAAGGACGTGAACTCATTCTTTTTTATGGCTGCATAGTAGTCCATGGTGTATATGTGCCACATTTTCTTAATCCAGTCTATCATTGTTGGACATTTGAGTTGGTTCCAAGTCTTTGCTCTTCTGAATAATGCCGCAATAAACATACATGTGCATGTGTCTTTATAGCAGCATGATTTATAGTCCTTTGGGTATATACCCAGTAATGGGATGGCTGGGTCAAATGGTATTTCTAGTTCTAGATCCCTGAGGAATCACCACACTGACTTCCACAATGGTTGAACTAGTTTACAGTCCCACCAACAGTGTAAAAGTGTTCCTATTTCTCCACATCCTCTCCAACACCTGTTGTTTCCTGACTTTTTAATGATTGCCATTCTAACTGGTGTGAGATGGTATCTCATTGTGGTTTTGATTTGCATTTCTCTGATGGCCAGTGATGATGAGCATTTTTTCATGTGTCTTTTGGCTGCATAAATGTCGTCTTTTGAGAAGTGTCTGTTCATGTCCTTCGTCCACTTTTTGATGGGGTGGTTTGTTTTTTTCTTGTAAATTTGTTTGAGTTCATTGTAGATTCTGGATATTAGCCCTTTGTCAGATGAGTAGGTTGCGAAAATTTTCTCCCATTTTGTAGGTTGCCTGTTCACTCTGATGGTAGTTTCTTTTGCTGTGCAGAAGCTCTTTAGTTTAATTAGATCCCATTTGTCAATTTTGGCTTTTGTTGCCATTGCTTTTGGTGTTTTAGACATGAAGTCCTTGCCCATGCCTATGACCTGAATGGTAATGCCTAGGTTTTCTTCTAGGGTTTTTATGGTTTTAGGTCTAACGTTTAAGTCTTTAATCCATCTTGAATTGATTTTTGTATAAGGTGTAAGGAAGGGATCCAGTTTCAGCTTTCTACATATGGCTAGCCAGTTTTCCCAGCACCATTTATTAAATAGGGAATCCTTTCTCCATTGCTTGTTTTTCTCAGGTTTGTCAAAGATCAGATAGTTGTAGATATGTGGCATTATTTCTGAGGGCTCTGTTCTGTTCCGTTGATCTATATCTCTGTTTTGGTACCAGTACCATGCTGTTTTGGTTACTGTAGCCTTGTAGTATAGTTTGAAGTCAGGTAGTGTGATGCCTCCAGCTTCGTTCTTTTGGCTTAGGATTGCCTTGGCGATGCGGGCTCTTTTTTGGTTCCATATGAACTTTAAAGTAGTTTTTTCCAATTCTGTGAAGAAAGGCATTGGTAGCTTGATGGGGATGGCATTGAATCTATAAATTACCTTGGGCAGTATGGCCATTTTCACGATATTGATTCTCCCTACCCATGAGCATGGAATGTTCTTCCATTTGTTTGTATCCTCTTTTATTTCCTTGAGCAGTGGTTTGTAGTTCTCCTTGAAGAGGTCCTTCACATCCCTTGTAAGTTGGATTCCTAGGTATTTTATTCTCTTTGAAGCAATTGTGAATGGAGTTCACTCATGATTTGGCTCTCTGTTTGTCTGTTGTTGGTGTATAAGAATGCTTGTGATTTTTGTACATTGATTTTGTATCCTGAGACTTTGCTGAAGTTGCTTATCAGCTTAAAGAGATTTTGGGCTGAGACAATGGGGTTTTCTAGATATACAATCATGTCGTCTGCAAACAGGGACAATTTGACTTCCTCTTTTCCTAATTGAATACCCTTTATTTCCTTCTCCTACCTAATTGCCCTGGCCAGAACTTCCAACACTATGTTGAATAGGAGTGGTGAGAGAGGGCATCCCTGTCTTGTGCCAGTTTTCAAAGGGAATGCTGCCAGTTTTTGCCCATTCAGTATGATATTAGCTGTGGGTTTGTCATAGATAGCTCTTATTATTTTGAAATACGTCCCATCAATACCTAATTTATTGAGAGTTTTTAGCATGAAGGGTTGTTGAATTTTGTCAAAGGCCTTTTCTGCATCTATTGAGATTATCATGCGGTTTTTGTCTTTGGTTCTGTTTATATGCTGGATTACATTTACTGATTTGCATATATTGAACCAGCCTTGCATCCCAGGGATGAAGCCCACTTGATCATGGTGGATAAGCTTTTTGATGTGCTGCTGGATTCGTTTTGCCAGTATTTTATTGAGGATTTTTGCATCAATGTTCATCAAGGATATTGGTCTAATATTCTCTTTTTATGTTGTGTCTCTGCCAGGCTTTGGTATCAGGGTGACGCTGGCCTCATAAAATGAGTTAGGGAGGATTCCCTCTTTTCCTATTGATTGGAATAGTTTCAGAAGGAATGGTACCAGCTCCTCCTTGTACCTCTGGTAGAATTCCGCTGTGAATCCATCTGGTCCTGGACTCTTTTTGGTTGGTAAGCTATTGATTATTGCCACAATTTCAGATCCTGTTATTGGTCTATTCAGAGATTCAACTTCTTCCTGGTTTAGTCTTAGGAGAGTGTATGTGTCGAGGAATTTATCCATTTCTTCTAGACTTTCTAGTTTATTTGCGTAGAGGTGTTTATAGTATTCTCTGATGGTAGTTTGTATTTCTGTGGGATCGGTGGTGATATCCCCTTTATCATTTTTTATTGTGTCTATTTGATTCTTCTCTCTTTTTTTCTTTATTAGTCTTGCTAGCGGTCTATCTATTTTGTTGATCCTTTCAAAAAACCAGCTCCTGGATTCATTAATTTTTTGAAGGGTTTTTTGTGTCTCTATTTCCTTCATTTCTGCTCTGATTTTAGTTATTTCTTGCCTTCTGCTAGCTTTTGAATGTGTTTGCTCTTGCTTTTCTAGTTCTTTTAATTGTGATGTTAGGGTGTCAATTTTGGATCTTTCCTGCTTTCTCTTGTGGGCATTTAGTGCTATAAATTTCCCTCTACACACTGCTTTGAATGCGTCCCAGAGATTCTGGTATGTTGTGTCTTTGTTCTCATTGGTTTGAAAGAACATCTTTATTTCTGCCTTCATTTCGTTATGTACCCAGTAGTCATTCAGGAGCAGGTTGTTCAGTTTCCATGTAGTTGAGTGGATTTGAGTGAGATTCTTAATCCTGAGTTCTAGTTTGATTGCACTGTGGTCTGAGAGATAGTTTGTTATAATTTCTGTTCTTTTACATTTGCTGAAGAGAGCTTTACTTCCAAGTATGTGGTCAATTTTGGAATAGGTGTGATGTGCTGAAAAAAATGTATATTCTGTTGATTTGGGGTGGAGAGTTCTGTAGATGTCTATTAGGTCTGCTTGGTGCAGAGCTGAGTTCAATTCCTGGGTATCCTTGTGGACTTTCTATCTCATTGATCTGTCTAATGTTGACAGTGGGGTGTTAAAGTCTCCCATTATTAATGTGTGGGAGTCTAAGTCTCTTTGTAGGTCACTCAGGACTTGCTTTATGAATCTGGGTGCTCCTGTATTGGGTGCATATATATTTAGGATAGTTAGCTCTTCTTGTTGAATTGATCCCTTTACCATTATGTAATGGCCTTCTTTGTCTCTTTTGATCTTTGTTGGTTTAAAGTCTGTTTTATCTGAGACTAGGATTGCAACCCCTGCCTTTTTTTGTTTTCCATTTGCTTGGTAGATCTTCCTCCATCCTTTTATTTTGAGCCTATGTGTGTCTCTGCACATGAGATGGGTTTCCTGAATACAGCACACTGATGGGTCTTGACTCTTTATCCAATTTGCCAGTCTGTGTCTTTTAATTGGAGCATTTAGTCCATTTACATTTAAAGTTAATATTGTTATGTGTGAATTTGATCCTGTCATTATGATGTTAGCTGGTGATTTTGCTCGTTAGTTGATGCAGTTTCTTCCTAGTCTCGATGGTCTTTACATTTTGGTATGATTTTGCAGCGGCTGGTACCGGTTGTTCTTTTCCATGTTTAGCACTTCCTTCAGGAGCTCTTTTAGGGCAGGCCTGGTGGTGACAAAATCTCTCAGCATTTGCTTGTCTGTAAAGTATTTTATTTCTCCTTCACTTATGAAGCTTAGTTTGGCTGGATATGAAATTCTGGATTGAAAATTCTTTTCTTTAAGAATGTTGAATATTGGCCCCCACTCTCTTCTGGCTTGTAGGGTTTCTGCTGAGAGATCCGGTGTTAGTCTGATGGGCTTCCCTTTGAGGGTAACCCGACCTTTCTCTCTGGCTGCCCTTAACATTTTTTCCTTCATTTCAACTTTGGTGAATCTGACAATTATGTGTCTTGGAGTTGCTCTTCTCGAGGAGTATCTTTGTGGCGTTCTCTGTATTTCCTGAATCTGAAAGTTGGCCTGCCTTGCTAGATTGGGGAAGTTCTCCTGGATAATATCCTGCAGAGTGTTTTCCAACTTGGTTCCATTCTCCCCATCACTTTCAGGTACACCAATCAGACGTAGATTTGGTCTTTTCACATAGTCCCATATTTCTTGGAGGCTTTGCTCATTTCTTTTTATTCTTTTTTCTCTAAACTTCCCTTCTCACTTCATTTCATTCATTTCATCTTCCATTGCTGATACCCTTTCTTCCAGTTGATCGCATCGGCTCCTGAGGCTTCTGCATTCTTCACATAGTTGTCGAGCCTTGGTTTTCAGCTCCATCAGCTCCTTTAAGCACTTCTCTGTATTGATTATTCTAGTTATACATTCTTCTAAATTTTTTTCAAAGTTTTCAACTTCTTTGCCTTTGGTTTGAATGTCCTCCCGTAGCTCAGAGTAATTTGATCGTCTGAAGCCTTCTTCTCTCAGCTCATCAAAGTCATTCTCCGTCCAGCTTTGTTCCGTTGCTGGTGAGGAACTGCTTCCCTTTGGAGGAGGAGAGGCGCTCTGCTTTTTAGAGTTTCCCGTTTTTCTATTCTGTTTTTTCCCCATCTTTGTGGTTTTATCTGCTTTTGGTGTTTGATGATGGTGATGTACAGATGTTTTTGGTGTGGGTGTCCTTTCTGTTTGTTAGTTTTCCTTCTAACAGACAGGACCCTCAGCTGCAGGTCTGTTGGAATACCCGGCCGTGTGAGGTGTCAGTGTGCCCCTGCTGGGGGGTGCCTCCCAGTTAGGCCGCTCGGGGGTGCCTCCCAGTTAGGCTGCTCGGGGGTCAGGGGTCAGGGACCTACTTGAGGAGGCAGTCTGCCCGTTCTCAGATCTCCAGCTGCGTGCTGGGAGAACCACTGCTCTCTTCAAAGCTGTCAGACAGGGACATTTAAGTCTGCAGAGGTTACTGCTGTCTTTTTGTTTGTCTGTGCCCTGCCCCCAGAGGTGGAGCCTACAGAGGCAGGCAGGCCTCCTTGAGCTGTGGTGGGCTCCACCCAGTTCGAGCTTCCCGGCTGCTTTGTTTACCTAAGCAAGCCTGGGCAATGGTGGGCACCCCTCCCCCAGCCTCGTTGCCGCCTTGCAGTTTGATCTCAGACTGCTGTGCTAGCCATCAGCGAGACTCCGTGGGCGTAGGACCCTCCGAGCCAGGTGTGGGATATAATCTCGTGGTGCGCCGTTTTTTAAGCCCGTCGGAAAAGCGCAGTATTCGGGTGGGAGTGACCCGATTTTCCAGGTGCCCTCCGTCACCCCTTTCTTTGACTAGGAAAGGGAACTCCCTGACCCCTTGCGCTTCCCGAGTGAGGCAACGCCTCGCCCTGCTTCGGCTGGCGCATGGTGCGTGCACCCACTGACCTGCGCCCAGTGTCTGGCACTCCCTAGTGAGATGAACCCGGTACCTCAGATGGAAATGCAGAAATCACCCGTCTTCTGCGTCGCTCAGGCTGGGAGCTGTAGACTGGAGCTGTTCCTATTTGGCCATCTTGGCTCCTCCCTCCTTCTGTTTATTTTTTATTAAGTTCTGGGCATTATACAAATAATATAGAAGACATCATTTACGGCTCTAGGACAATGTTACGTTACTTCTGAGAGAACTTAACTATTTTTTTCTTTTATGTCAGTCAAAATAGGAATGGATTACCTTAATCAAGTCAGACACAAAGATTACTTGTAGCTGGACTTCAGTTCTTCTTAGGGCTAGATATATTTCTAGATCTCCTTTACTCTCTGTAGGGAGCCCTTCTGGTTCCAACCAAAACCCTGGGTGCCCCTCCTCCTTGGAGGACTCTGACCTCTAATTTTTGTCCTTTAAACTCTATGACACTGCCAAAAGCTCTGTTCAGCTTCTTGATCATGCCTTTTGTTTAAGAAATTGACAATGCTCTTGAGAAGAACAAGCAGCTCCAATTGCTGGGCTCATCTTCTTAGTTTTCTTCTTTCAGGTCATGGCCTCACAAACTCTTACTGTCTTGGTTGCTTTTCAGTGCCCTCAAACATGTTTAACAAAATGTTTTTCAGCATTTCCAGTTGCTCTCATCAGGAGGGTGTTTCTGAAACATCTAGTTAGCCATTGTCAGAAGTAGAACCCCAGAACATTGGCCTTGAGAGAAGGTGGATCCATCTTTTATAGCCTTGGTTTGCTCTTAAAATGTTTTAGAAAAGACATATCCTGAGTGTCTTAGTGGTCTAGCGTGATGGTGGTAGAGGTGAAGAAAAGTGAAACTTCCAGTATATTTAAAAAGTGGAATTAACCCGTTATTAGTTTTAGATGGAGATGAGAGAGGAGGATTCAGGGCTAATGGCCAGGATCTGGACTGGGCATCTGGATGTCCAGTCACTAGGATAAGTGGTTGGGTTAGTGACACTGGAGCCTCAAGTCACCACAGTAACAGAATGACATTCACCACAGCCTAGTTATGTAAAACTCTGGACAGAGGGAATAAATCCAGGCAAATACCTCTACGTATGAAATGGACCTGAAAAGAAGCTTTACCTGGAGGAAACCTTACCTGACTCCAGAGACCTTTTTGGTTTAGAAAACAGGAAGTAACTTGTATCTGTCAGTATGACACTTTTGAACATTTCTGTATTAGTTTGCTAAGGTGCTGTAACAAAGTCCCACAAACTATGGCTTAAGACAACAGGAATATATTCTGTCACAGTTCAGGAGGATAGAAATCTGAAATCAAGGACTGGGCAGGGCTACGCTCCATTTGAAGGCTTAGGGAAGTCCCCTTTCTTGCCTCTTCCAGGCTTTCTGTGGCTGCTGGAGATCCTTGGTGTTCCTTGGCTTGCAGCAGCATCACCCTGGTCTTCGCCTTTGTCCTACCTCACCTTCCTCATGTGCCTACCTCTGTGTTTCACATGGCCTTATAAGGACACTAGTTGTGGGATTTAGGCCTACATCCCCATACCCCCAATTGATTGTGACCTCATCTTAATGAATTACATCTCAAAGACCCTAATTTCCAAATGAACTTACATACGCAAGTCCCAGGGTTTAGGACTACAAAATATCTTTTTGACAGACACAACTCAATCCACAACAATTTCTAGTTTATCACCGCGTGAAGCTTAGTGCTCTCTGCAAAGATCAAATGAACAAGTAGTGTACTTATTGAGCTGTTGCTTCTGACAAAGCACTGTGTGGGGAATAAAAAGTAGCGTGGCACACAGTCTCTGTCCTAGACAACTTTACTGTCCAACTGGGGAGACCAAGAGTGATGCAGAACTCAGGAGGAAAATAAGCTTTGGTTGGCCACCTACCATTTACCAGATACTGCAGTGGGGGCTATACATATATTGAGCCATTTAATCATCAGAATAGCTTGCTAGGTAAGTGGTATTCACCCTATATTACAGATAAGGGAACTGAGGGTCAGAAGGAGTAAATAACTAGTATTAAGTGGTGCTATCAGAATTTGAATCTAGATTTGTTGTATTCTAAAGCCTGTGGTTTTGGGGAAGAAACTGAATTATGTTAAAAAAAAAAAAAAAAAAAAAAAACAAAGCTGTTAGAAATTAACCATAAGAGAGTTAGTGTGAGAGCTGGGTGTGGTGGCTTGCATCTGTAGTCCTAGCTACTGAGGAGGCTGAGATGGGAGGATCCCTTGAGCCCAGGAGTTTGAGACCAGCCCGTGCAATATAGTGAGACCCTGTCTCAAAAAGAAAAAAAAAAAGTTGGTGTGGACAAGGAAGGCTTATTGAGGAAGAAGAAATTTGAAGAGAAATCATCTGAACTGTGTTTTTAAGAAAGGGTAGGAGTTGGCTGGTGGAAAAGAGCCAAAAACTGATTCCAGGTGATGGGAGCTACGTGAACCAAGGCAAGGGGATAGAATATATCAGATGTATTTAGGAGAAAATATATTTTATAACACTATATATAAGATACGTGCTTTATATAATTATAGCCTCATTCTTCATATGGAGACCTTGAAGTAAGAAAACAAACATTTTTAGCTCTGTGTCTCACATGGTAAGGTATTGGTAAAGCTGAGCCTTCTGCCAATGAATTTTTTTTCCATTCCTCTTCAGAAATAATCGCTTTCCATTTAAAAAGTAATAATTCAATTTAGAAAGAATCAAAATATAAAGTAGAGAAAAAATCTCACATATTCCTATCATGCAAATATGACTAAAGTTAACATTTTGGTCTCTTCCTCCCAGTCCTTGAATATGTATCAGTAGTATACATAACACATTAACCTAGAGAGTAATCATAGTGTATGTGCTATTTTGTGCTTTTCTACCATAACCTAAGCACTAATCTGTGCCATAATATGTCATCATTATCATAGTTTTATTTATTTTTATTATTTTTAATTTTGAGATGGAGTCTCGTTCTGTCACCAGGCTGGAGTGCAGTGGTGTGATCTCGGCTCACTGCAACCGCCGCCTCCTAAGTTCAAGTGATTCTCCTGCCTCAGCCTCCCGAGTAGCTGGGACTACAGGCATGTGCCACCATGCCCAGCTAATTTTTGTATTTTTAGTAGAGACGGGGTCTCACTATGTTGGCCAGAATGGTCTCGATCTCTTGACCTCATGATCCGCCCACCTTGGCCTCCCAGAGTGCGGGGATTACAGCTGTGAGCCACCGCACCTGGCTATCATAGTTTTAAAGGTTGAATAATATTCTAAGTAGATAATGTACCATGATTTACTTATTTAGGGTTTGTTATTAATAGCAAATTAAAAAATTCCTAGGTCAAAATGCATGACCTGTGTTACAACTCCTATTATATATATGGTTTTCTGGAAGGTCAATATTGATTTTGGCATATATAGACTGGGCTTCTCTGGGTTGTTGTAAAAGTTCTATGTCATTGAACTACAGAAAGAGGGTGAGGGGATTTCTAACAATTAGGGCCAGTGTTTTCTTCACCTCTAAACCGCATCCCCATCCTAGTGTCTGCTTGGCTTTGCAACACCATCCTTATCCTGAGAGCTTTGTTGATGCCTGGGGATATTCAGAAATTTTCGACTTGGAACCCTTCCAAGACATTTGCTATTTTATTCTCTATTTGTTTTTCTTAAGCAACTAACTAAATAAGAATAACATTTCAACCTCTTTCTACTCCCCACAGCATTTTTTCCTGCCTGCACCACCTCTGCCTACAGTTTAACCATGGGGTTGCTTCTTATATTTTAAAGCTAAATACAAAAGCACAGTTCTGAGAAGCAGCCAAGTTCTGCAGCCAAGTTTGAAGAATAAAACTTTAAAACAGCTCTTCTGTCACACACTTGAGAGGGGAGGCAGGCTTTGCTATAAATAAGTCACATTCCATTTCTATCTCATCCTTTGCAGTCCTCTTGGGTAATGCTTTTTGTATATGACTACAGTGTTCTCGAACTGCCCACTCACCCCTTTCAACCTTCCATTTTGTGCCTCACTTTATTTAAATGTTCAATAGTTTTGGAGTTTAGGGACCCTGCATGAAAGGAGTAGACCTTTCCTTTCATTCTTCAGGCTTAGATGTAATGAGATTCAGTGGCTAACTTATTAGAAACTATACTTTCTCTTTGTCTGTAACGTTTTCAGCAGCTGCCTGGATTAGTTTCCTATTGCTGCCATAACAAATTGCCACAAATGTAATGGCTTAAAACAAGGCCAGGCACAGTGGTGCATGCCTGTAATTCCAGCACTTTGGGAGGCTGAGATGGGATTGCTTGAGCTCAGGAGTTCAAGACCAGCCTGGCCAACATGATGAGACCCCATCTCTATTTAAAAAAAAAAAAATACAAAAGTTGTCTGGGTGTGGTGGCGTGCACCTGTAATCCCAACTACTCAGGAGGCTGAAGTGGGAGGATCACCTGAGCCTGGGGAGCTCAAGGCTGCAGTGAGCCATGATCGTGCCACCGCATTGCAACCTGGGTGACAGAGTGAGACCCTGTCTCAAAAAACAAAAAACCAAGAAACCCCACAAATGCATTTTCTTATAATTCTAGAAATCAGGAGTGAAAAATGATTTGGCAGAGCTGCATGCCCTCAGGGGGCTCTAGGAGAATTCATTTCCTCCCCTTTTCCAGCTTCTAGAGGCTGCCTACATTCCCTAAGTCATAGCCCCACATCAGTCCCACCTCTACTCTTGGCATCATATCTCCTTCTCCAACTCTGACCTTCCTTTCTCTCTCTTATAGGACCCCCGGTGATTACATGGAGCCCACACACATAATCCAGGGGTACCTCCCCATCTCAGAGTCCTTAACTTAGTCCCACCTGCAGAGTCTCTTTTGCCAAGTCAAATAACATATTTATAGGTTTGTGGGATTAGGGTGTGGACATCTTTGGAGGGCCGTTATTCTACTTATCACACTGTCTTAGAAAAGGAAAGGAAAATAATTTTGGAATTTTTGTCTTTTTCATAGCTAGGGAGGAGGTACGCTGAAGTTTTGTTTTTCCTTCCTGTATTTGTGATGGTTGATATGTGGCAATCTAAACTAAGTCTGGGATGTCTGTTTGTATTGGCTGAAGTTCATTGGAGGGCAGAAAAGAGGAGAGTTTCAGAGACTGGCAGTGAGGATGGGAGGGTGGCTTAAAGACCTTCACAACCTGCTCACTGGGTGCTCCTGTTAGGCCCCACAAACAAGCCCATGCCATCGAGGAGAAGTGACCAAGCAGATACATTCAAAATGAATAAAAGGAAGACCTCATTTACTGTAGTCCCATCCAGTGTGGCTTCCTTATAGGACTATTTGTCTCTAATTATTTTATTTATTTTTTATTTTTTCAGAGAGAGTCTCACTCTGTTCCCCAGGCTGGAGTGTAATGGTGTGATCTTGGCTCACTCAGCCTTGACCTCTGGGGCTTGATCCTCCCGTCTCAGCCTTCCCATAGCTGGGACTACAGGCATGCACCACCACACCTGGCTAATTTTTAAACTTTTTTGTAGAGACAGGGTCTCACTGTGCTGCCCAGGCTGGGCTTGAACTCCTGGGCTCAAGTATATCCTCCCTCCTCAGCCTCCCAACATGCTGAGATTACAGATGTGAGCCACCATGCTTGAACTATATTTTAAAAAAATATTAATTATGATACTAAACAATACAGTGAATAAATAACCTTCTCATGACTGTCCATCTGGCATAGTAGAAGACTTTATGTGCTTTTTTCAAACAATGAGAGAAAGTGCTGGCATATCGCACTTCCCTTAGCTTGAGAGACATGTGCCAATCTGCTTGTTGACTCTGCCAAGGCCTCTCTTTCCGTCATTTTCCATGTTCTGGTCAGGATTTGTGACATATAGTGGCTGACAAAAGGCACACAAGTGATAGTGTTGGTGGCCAATCTGCCAGGGAAGAGTCTGACCCTGGGCGCTAATGTGACTCAAGGTAGATGAGCCCTTCGAGGAGCTAGTCAAGGAAACAGATGATAAAGTCTAACTATCAGTGAGCGAGCAGGGGGTGAGCATTTTCTTTCTGAAGGGAGTTATTACTGTCATTAACTTCATTGCGTTGCTGGGAAGGAGGGGTCAGTAGTTGAAACAAAAGTCTCCTATGGCTGATGACATGTTACAACTTTAGGACAGTTGTCAGCAAGCAACTTGCTGTTGGGCCTAATCTGTCCCCATGCCTTTGATCCCTTGAGCCTCAGGATGGTTTCTACATTTTGCAATGGTTGAAAAACTTTAAAAGAGAAGCCATATTTTGTGACATGTGAACATTATGTGAAATTCAAATTTCAGTATCTGTATATCAAGTTTTATTGAAACACAGCCACATCATTTGTTTATGAATTATCTATGGCTTTTTTTTTTGAGCTACCACGGAGGAGTTGAGTGGTTGTGACAGAGACTGTCCGTATGACCGGTGAAGCCTAAAATATTTACTAACTGGCTTTTTACAGAGAAGTTTGCAGCTTCTGTTTTCGGAGATTTGAAAGAGACTGAAAAAGCATCGGCAAATGTCCTTGTTGGGACAATATTTCCATAGGAACCAAGACCCAGTGATTCCATGTGGTGCTGATTTATTTCCAGGAACCCATGGAGGGTCTAACTGGGGAGGGGGTATACAAGATAAATTAGAAACAAGTGCACATTCCTGTACTACAAAAAATATACAAGACCTGCCATTCACCCCTCAAATAATATGTTTCCTTTCCTGAGGGGTCACATAATTTATGCCAGTACATTATTGATGAGATTTTTGTTTGTTTTTTTAAAATAAAAAACAGGCATATTGAGCTGCTGGAAGTGTTGAGCTGGCTGTTCTGAAATATCCCACTAGGATATTCCACTTGCTGGCTGGCTACCTCCATCTCAGATGCAATGTCCAAATGGCTGTCAATTTCTGCAGGACCCACTTTGTGCCAGGCATTGGGCCAGTGCTTTGGGCACGTGAATTGCTCACACTGAGAGCACTGCTGTAAAATCATTGTTATTCCCATGCCGCATATGAAGAAAGGAGCTTACACTGGGTAAACCCATGCCTGGGCCTCCCCTGTAAGTGGGAATCCCGAGTTGCAGGTCAGGCTGTCTCTTCTTCACAGACCATGCTCTTTCACAAGACCTGGAAGGAACAAGACAACCACCTGGGGAGCTGCTTACTTCTGATCTTTCCTCTGGGATGCCAGGGCTATCACAACCTCATAGGCAAGATACTCTAATCACTGAGTTATGGTGTTCGGTGATAATATCGACTTCCATTTTTATAATTTCTTCTAGCACTCTGCATCCTGCATGTTATATTTGTAAAAGGCCTGTGAAAAACATAAGGCAGACATATCTATTTCTGCTTTGTAAATGAGGAAACTGAAGCTCAGGGGTAAAGAGGCCTTTCTAGGCTCAACCAGCTTTTAGTGGCAGAGCCAGACCTCTTGACCTGGGGTCTGGTGCCTGTACACTACTTCCCATGGGCCAGGTCTTTGGGAATAGAGCTGCGTCACTCACACTTACCTTAGCAGAGGCTGTGATAGACTCTAAGCCGTATGGTTTTTAGTTTATCCTCAGTGAACCTCAGGTCATCAACTGACCTCCAGAGACGAATTTCACGTTGTAGATGGTTTTTTTTGTTGGCATTACTTTACAACTGTGACTCTGCTGAATGCACTGTACCTTTCTCTTTCCTATTACCACATCCATTGCTTGAGTTTCAGTCCTGTCTTAGTCCATTTTGTGTTGCTGTAAAGGAGTACCAGACACTGGGTATAAAGAAAAGAGGATTTATAAAGAAAAGAGGGTTATTTAGCTCACAGTTCTGCAGGTGTACAAGAAGCATGGCACCGGCATCAACATGTCAGAGAAGGTCAAAGGAGAAGTGAGTACGTGTGAAGAGACACCATACCCAAAGGGCATCCTGGCTTTACATAATAATAAACCAACCTAATCCCATCTCGCCAGAGTGAGAACAGCAGCCCAGCACGAAGTCATTCATGAGGGTTCTACGCCTATAACTCAAACACCTTCCCCTAGGCCCCACCTTCTGACACCACCACAGTGGGGAGCAAATTTCAACATGAGATTTGATGGGGACAAAAAATCCCATTATCCAAACCATAGCAAGCCCCAATCCAAACCAAAAGCAGATCCCCATTCGTGGTTCCCCTTTCCACATGGTTCCAAATGAGGAAGGGCAAAATTCATGTGTTCTGCTCAGTAAAAGGTTGAAAAGTTATTGGGAAACACATCTTCCAAGGTTTGTGTCCTTTGGGACATGGGAATATGTTATTAACCAGGACAGCTGCTCACAGCTGCACAGGGATGTACTGAAACAGCTCATTTTAAGCAAATTTTAAGTAGTGGAGAGGATCATTCCTGGGCACATTTCACAAGCATTCTGTCTTGGTTTTACCCCAATCTCTGCATATTCCTTCTTCGTCTTCATTCCCGGGGCAGCTTCTTCTGCCCACCCCGTGAAACTTTGGCCCATTCTTTTCTGTATGCTGTCCAGGGGCCATCTCCTCCTCTCTACATGCTGCATTGAGGATCCCCAAATTGCTATCCTCTCTCCAAACTCCAAATGCCTATATCCAGCTACCAAAAAGACATCTCTGTTTGAATCTTCCTCACTTACCACAAACATAACAGGTAGAACATAGCTTATTTCTTGCCCTGCCAAAACTGTTCTCCTTCTGAGCTTCAGTGCTTGGTGTAGCATCCTCCACATAGTTGGCATCGGAGGCAGAACCTGAACCTGATTCTCTTTGACAGGCCTAATCACTCACCACTCTACGCAATATGAAAATGACATGCCATGTGAATCCAATGCCATGTAAAAAAAGATAACATTTTCTGTTTGTCTCCCTAGGATATTGTAAATGCTTGGCACCAAGTAGGTGATAAATAAATGTGAAGGACAAACCTGTTGATTAAGCGTTCCTGAGACATATCCTTTATCTTTCTCAGATGAGATTCTCTGCCACATAGCTTATCCCTGTATTGGGTGGATTGTGTAACTCTGAGGTTCAAACATTGGGTATTGCCTCTAAACCTTGCACAGTTATTTATCTCAGAACTATTGAGTTTGGCGGCTGTCCACATCATGTAACAATTCTGCTGTTACCTTCCTTTCCTTGTTTTCTTCCTTCCCTCTCTCCTCATCTTCCACATTCCTATCTGTGAGAGAGGATGAGAAAAAAACAGACAAGAAGACAAACCAATATTTCTCTCACCAATGAAAAATACCTTTCCGTTCTGTTTTTACCATTAAATGTGGTATTTGCCCTCTGTGTCTCAATTAAAACAGGTTATTTCCTTCTTAGTTTCTTCTTTTATATTTTTTTTCTTGTTTCAGAAATGGTTCATGTTAATTGTAAAAGAAAAATTCCGAAATTATAGATAAGCCAAAGAAATAAATAAAACATGTAACAACCCCCTGCTCAGAGAGTTGTGGTTAACTTTTGAAGTACCTACTTCCATGCTTCTTTTCTAGGTACATATTTTAACAGAAATAGAGACTTACTGTACTTGCTGTTGGGAAGCTTCTTTTCACATAATAGATTGAGAATATTTTCTTGTGACAGTCAATATTCCTCTAGACCAGCAATTGGATCACTTTGTTTAAAGGGCCACATAGTAACTATTTTAGGCTTTGTGGGACTTACTGTCTCTTTCAGCTAATCAACTCTGCTGTTATAAGTGCAGAAGCATTCACAGAAAGTGTGTAAATGAATGGACATGTCTGTATTCTAATAAAACTTTATGAAAACAGGCAGTGAGCCAGATTTGGCCCATGGGTGGGGCTGTAGTTTGCCTATGCTTGTCTAGAATATCTTTTTTTTTTTTTTTTGAGACAGAGTGAGACAGAGTCTTACTCTGTCACCCAGGCTGGAGTGCAGTGGCATGATCTAGGCTCACTGCAACCTCCACCTCCTGGGTTCAAGTGATTCTCCTGCCTTAGCCTCCTGAATAGCTGGGACTATAGGCCTGCGCCGCCATGCTTGGCTAATTTTTTTGTAGTTTTAGTATAGACAGAGTTTTGCCATGTTGGCCAGGCTGGTCTTGAACTCCTGACCTCAAACGATCCTCCCACCTTGGCCTCCCAAAGTGTTGGGATTACAGGCGTGAGCCCACACTCCACTAGAATATCATTTTTAATGCCTAAATAGTGTTCTATCTTATTGATATATCATTATTTACTTAACCAGTCAGAGTAATAGCTAATGTTGTTTGAGGCCTTACTCTGCGCTTGCAACATTGCTTCGTTTGTTCTATTTGCATTCTGACTTACACCTGCCCACAGCCCTGTGTAGTGTAGGTATTATTCTTTCTATTTAACAGATGAGGGAACTCGGATAAAGAACAGGTGGGTAATTTGCCTAAGGTTAGATGGTTAGTAAATAGAAAACTCAAAATTTAAATTTGTTTGATTTTTAGAAGCCATGCTCTTAACTACTCATTATGTTTTTACGCACGTTAGTAATTATTTGCTTGGATAAATTCCTAGAATTAGAATAACACATGCATTTTAAGGTTTTGATATTTGTTGTCAGGTTGATATATTTGGCCAACTTATATTTCTTGAGTGGTATATAGCAGGGCTGTGTTTCTACACCCTTGTCTATAACAAGGACTCTTTTGACGCTTTGCTACTTTAATAGGTAAAACAAGCTTCATCTTTTTTTATCTTATGAATACTCTCTATATTTCTTCTAAGGTGAGTGTCTGATGCATGTTCTTTCTCCATTGTTCAATAAGAGCATTTGTCTTCTCTATTAATTTGTTGGAGCCTTTTATGTAAGGGACTTCTGTGGTTTTTAAGTTGATGCTACATGACGTGTTATGAACATAGCCTTTTACTTTAAGGAGATGTTGTCTTTACAATTGAAGATAATTAAATGGAAAAGTATTTAGTTTTAATGCAGCATTAATTAGACTCCTGGAATTGAAAAAATTCCCAGAAACTGTAAGGTAAGGGAGGACTTACTCCTGTTGGGGAACTTGTCCCTTTAGTTTCCATCTCTTAAGTACTAGAATTTGTGTTCTTTAATTGGAACCATTGCTTTGCTGTGGCCATGGCAACACATCTTAGCTGCCATGAACAGCGCACACTTTGACAAAATATTTTTTTTAGAGAGTGGCTTTTAGATGGAATTCATTTTCCAATGTATTCATGGAGTCTAGATGAATTAATGGATGGTAGACCCATACTTTTATAATAATAGTAATAATAATGAAATGAATAGTTACTATCTATTGATCCCTTACTGTATTCTAGCCACAATGCTTTATTTTATATTATTTCATCGGATCTTTGTGATAATCTTATGTCATAGATATTGTTGTTATCCTTACTTTATACATAAAGAAATTAACACAGAAGAGTTAAGTGGCTTGCTCTGGCTTATACAGATGGTAAGTAGTGGAGTTTGACCTTGACCTTAACCTTGATTTTCTACTGCGTGAGTCTTACAGGTTTATTATAGCCTTTAGGGTATATACTGAATTCAACAGTGGTAGCATGGATGGCAAATCTTGATGTCATCTAGAGTCTAAGATGACACTAGCATCAGTGGGCCACAGGGAATCTGACCCAGACTTTCATAACTTGTATTATTATGAAGATTAGAGTTCTGAAGCTTACTGGATTAGAAGAGCACGAGGGGGTAGCTGCCCCAATATATTCTAATTTCTCTTGAGGACCACCAAATTGGCAGAGTGTCTCTGATAGGGAAAAGGAAGAGTTGGAAGGCATCTTAGCCTCTAGGACAGAAGAACCATTTTTATTGGCCACCAAAGTTACATCTAGTTGCCTACAAATTTATATCCAAACTCCTTATCCTGCCAATTCAGGGTTCTGCAAACTGATGCCAAACTATAGTTTAGTCTTCTATCACATGACTGCATTATACATACCCAATTATCTGGGCAAACAGACCTGATCCAAACACAGTTTGTACTTTCCTTTCCTTTCCTTTGTTTAGCCTGTTCCGTCTACTTGGGGTGTCTTTGATTTCTCCAGCCTCAGTCTCCCGCTGTTAGAATTCTGGGCCTCCCTCAATACCAAGGTTAAGTAGTACCTAACGAAGAATTTTTTATTTTTACAGACAAAAGCAGTTTCTCTCCTCCTCTTTGATTCTTATGGTTATTTATATTACTCTCAAGTCAATCATAACCTTCTTATTTGTAGGATAGTTTCTCCCTGTAGGACTTGCAGGATTCCTCGAATACAGTGCTTTTCCAAAGGTAAATGACGACATACCTTAATCTTGTTGTTAGGGATTCTGACTCTGAGAGACATGAAACCACTGTTTAGAGTCTTGTTATGTATGAATTGTGTCCCCCTCCACCCAGTCCATATGTTGACATCCTATCCGCCCATGTCTTTGAACGTACTTTGAAATATGATTGTTGCAGATGTAATTAGTAAAGATGAGGTCATACAAAAGTAGGGTGGACTCCTAATCCAATTTGGCCGTCACACTGGAAATTTGGGCTTGCACCCACCGAGAACATTGTGGAAAGATTGGAATGATGCTGTCAGAAGCCAAGGAACTACCAGAAGCTAGAAGAGAGGCCTGAACATACCCTTCCCCAGAGCCTTCAGAGGGAGCATGGCCCTGCCAACACCTAGGTCCCAGACTTCCAGCCTCTGGAACTGTGGGACGATACATTTCTTTTGTTGAAGCCACTCAGTTTGTGGTACTTTGTTGCTGTGGCCCCAAGAAAGTACCACAAGCCTGAGGTTTTCACCGTCCTTACAGCCAGCAAGACGGGATGTTTCAGATGACCCTGTCCTATGTGGAACTGGGGGCTGAGGTGGGGTGGCCTGATAACAGAGTCACCAAAGAGCTGCCTCTCTTATCTGTACTCCTGAGTTCTCACAGCCTTCTGGGCATCTTCAGCACCAGCAACTCAGCATGTCAAAACTGAACATCTTTCCTCTCCAAACCCCTTTTCCCTCATAAGCCCATCTAAATTATGGTTACCATGTCCCTCTCAGTCCCTCTGGAATTCTTCCCTTTTCTCATCCCCAATTGAAAAAAAAATCTGGAATTCTATGTTCTTCTGGAAAATAAGGAAGATCTGGCAACACCAGGCCTTTGTTACTGCATGGCTATAATTGGCCAGATGGATGGGCTGCCCCTGAACATAGAGAATGTGTCCTGGGTCCTGTTTGACATCGCATGCCAGACCCTGTGGGCATTGGAGCCTGGCCCCTGGCAGGGTGGAAGTGATTGCCTCTGCCTCACAGGGACATAAGTGGAAAGCTTCAGATCATTCTCTGAGTCAAGCTGTCCGGTTTATGTCCTGCTGTGTCGCTTACTGGCTGGGGGCAGCCATGGGAAGTTTCCTTGATCTCCCTGTGCTTCCGTTTCCCAGTCTGTAAATGGAGATAATAATGGTGCTCGCCTCATAGGGGTGTTGAGAGAATTAAATGATTTAATGCGCATCAGGAGATTGGAACCTGACACGTAGCAGGTGCACCTGAAATGTTCCCTTATATTCTTATGTAGTCAAGAAAATCTTGTCACCCTTTATCTAAACTGCTTTATTATTTTTCATGACGCACGGCATATTTACTTCTTGGTTTTACTTTGCTACTCTCCATCCCCCACCAGCTTGACACACATTCAGAAAATGTGGCCATAGTTTATACACATAGATTCAGGGCTGGCCTACCAAGGAGTTTGGACAAAGCTCCCGGGATCTCACTTGGTGGAGCTCCTGGGCCTCTCCTGGCTGCCGAGTCCCCTGTGCTTTCTGCCTTCTGTGTTGTTTCGGTTCCAGTGACCAAGGGCACAGCTTGGTGACTGGCCTCCCGAGGCCTTCCGAGTCACCGGGGGATCCCTCTAATTAGGTACACTGTTGAGCATGCAGGTGTATATCCTGCAGGCAAGAAGGGCTGCTGAAATAGTAGCTTAACATGAAATCCAGGCAGCAAGTCGGGTGTTCGTTAGAAGTGTGTTTTTTTTTTTTTGTGATTTGGGACACTGACAAAGCCCAGACAAACCTCCCCACACCAATTGTTTCCCCCAGCTGTATTCCCCTTATTGGGCCACTCCTAAGCAGTGCTGATGACTTATTTAGCTAATATTTGTTGACTGAATTTTTATTAATCAATAGAGATTTGTTAAGTAAATGGAGCATTATTCAGACATGTGGCATCAGATCCATTACTAGATGTAAGTGATAAATAAAGTGGTAGGTAAGACACAGTCCTGCCTGTAAGAGATGTGCAATCTAGTCATTGAGAGAGACCCTATGAGAAACAGTGGGTGGAGCTGGGGGATTACCGGTGTTGTTTATGGGATCCCAGAGAGGAAGGACCCTGACTCAGCCTGAGGTTGGGACTGGGGGCAACTGGGGGATCATCAGACTTGTCATTATTGATCTAATGTCCCAGTAAAATTGGGCGTTTTCAGGACAGGGACTGTGACTGTCTTTTTATTGCTCTATGTCTTGTCCTAGCCCAGTGGTTGACATATAACAGACGGTCAATAAACATTTGATGAGTAAGGGAATTAAGTGACATCTAAGCTGAGAACTGAAGGATGAGGAGTCTGCCAGGAGGAAAGTGTGGGAGGTAGGGGAGGAAGGGGGTGGCGGGAGGAAGTAAAATGATGACGAAGGATGGTACAGGGAGGGAGGAGCATGTGCTCCTTGAGGGTGACAAGGACTGCAGTTCTGGGAACTGTTAGCTTGTATGGTGGGTGGCATGGAGCCATTTCAAGGTGGGGGCCTGGGCAGAGCTGAATGGTGAGAATAACATAGAGTTCTTAGTTTTTACATGATGAGGTTTGATATGCATGATCCAAGGTGCAGGAAATGGATTGGAGAGGACAGGGTGGAAGAGGAGAGGCCATTCGATGGCTATTGCAGCAATCTTGAGAGATGGTGGTGGCAGGACAAATTACTGACACCTGAGATGGAGAGGTGACTAGATTCAGAAGCAACTAGGGATGTAGAATTGTCAGAACCTGGCAATTAGGTGTCTGTGGGGAAGGAAGGAGAGATGTATGAATGATGCTCAGGCCTCCAGGGGATGTGGGCACCACTTACTTGTGATAGATGAGAAGAGGAGCTGTGAGAAGGTTAAATTCACACTTGGGCATGGTGAGTTTGAGATGCCTGTGGGAAGTCCAGAGCGCAGTTGTATACAGCAGGCTTCACCTCCAGAGAGTGATCAGATTTGAGATACAGGTTTGAACACTCATTGGCATAGAGGGTCAGGGCTTCATAGCCTAGAAGGACATAGATAAAATTAAGAAGGCCTATGAACTTCAGAAATTATATTAAAATCATAATGCATGTGCATTGTTCTGAAGAGCTAGCTTTGTATCAACTTTTCAAAATGTCTGTGTCCTCAAAAAGGTTAACCCTTGGTGCATATGGTTAATGAAGCCAGAAGGAGAGATGAGATTTTTCAGGCAGCAAGAAGGGAAGAGAGCCAGGGTTTGTGCTGCAGAAAATATCAACATTTCGGGGGTGGGAGGCACTGTGCTGAGTCAGAGGCCTGGGGGTCAGAGTTCTGGGAATGAGATAAAGACTTACAGGTAGCAATAGCTTTACTGTTCATAAAGCACTTTTACATACAATGCCATTTTATCTCTCAGGAACTCAACTAGATCTTTATAATTTGGCTCTGTATCAGTTAGAGTTCAGTACAAGACATGAAAACTTGGCTATAAATTTTAAAGAAGGGATTTCCTAGAGGGAATAGGTGCTTACTATGGACCCAGAAAATCTGAGATAGGTCTCAGTTAATGTAGAAAGTGTATTTTGCCAAGGTTGAGGATGTGCACCCATGACACAGCCTCAGGAGGGCCTGACGACGTGCTCAAGCTGGTTGGAATGCAGCTTGGTTTTATACAGTTTAGGGAGACATGAGACATCAATCAATGTATGTAAGAAGTACATTGGTTCGGTGTGGAAAGGTGGGACGACTGGAAGCAAAGGCAGGAAGACTCAAAGCGGAGAGGGAGCTTCCAGGTCATAGATAGGTGAGAGACAAACAGTTGCATTATTTTGAGTTTCTGATTAGCCTTTCCAAAAGAGGCAATCAGATATGCATCTATCTGAGTGAGCAGAGGGATGACTTTGACTAGAATGGGAGGCAGGCTTGCCCTAAGCAGTTCCCAGCTTGACTTTTCCCTTTCACTTAGTGACTTTGGGGGCCCAAGATATTTTCCTTTCACATTACAAAATCTCTGGAAGGGCAGCCCCAGGGAAAGATTCCCAGAACAATATAGAACTAAGGTCAGAGTACATCCCTGTAGCTGCCACCCTGGCATCGAAAAGCTGGGACTGGAAAGCCACCATGGCTGCAGCTCTTTCTCGGCCTTCATGGAGCTGAAGGAAGGATGCTGGACACTACTGTATTAAGAAATCTGTTTTCGTGACCTGCCTTGATAGCAGTGAACAGTCAAATAGAAGCCAAAGCATGGCCCTCATCTCACTTCCACCTTCTAGAACTCCTTGCTTGAGTACATTTAATTAGTGGAATCCACTTCAGTCCTGAATCTCTAGATGCAGAGAAGTCTGGAAGATATCTTTATACCACCTCTCTTCCTAAAAGGAGTGTGAAATGGAGCTAGAGAAGGGGTCTTATTTTGTAAGGGTCAAGTTAAGAACTGTTTCAGTCTTAGTGAGCCATGTGGTCTCTCTGCAGCCTTGCCATTGAAGTGTGGAAGCAGCCAGAGACCATACAGAAATGAGTGAGCATATTGTGTTCCAATAAAACTTTATTTATAAAATCAGGCCTGGCACAGTGTTTCACGTCTGTAATCCCAGCACTTTGGGAGGCTGAGGCAGGAGTGAGCTTGATTGTGCCACAGTTCTCCAGCCTGAGCAACAGAGTGTGAGACCCTATCTCTAAAAAATAATAATGATAAAGTTAGTTAATTAAATTAAAATGAGTGATGGGGCCTAAAGGCCACAGTTTATTGACCTCTGAGGTAAGCAAATCAATTCTCAATAATTATCGTAGGTTCTTTTTTACAGATGAGGGAATTAAAACCGGAGAGCGTCAGTCGAAGTGAAAATAAGTCCTGGTTATTTAGTTTTCAAAGTTCATGTTCTCCAGGAAATCCTGATGCTCAGCCTCTCCTCTTACAAGGCTTGTGATCTAAAAGAGGAGATAAAATATGTACTTTGTTGGTGCAGACCATGGTAAATGCTCCCGGGATGGTGCGGAATGCTTTTGCATACAAGGCATTTTTGACAGGAGAAATCAGAAGTATGATGGTGAAAGTAGTTTTAGCTAGATGTTGAAGAAAGGTATAACTCTAACAGGTGGAGATGGAGAAGGGAGGAGTCAAAAGAGCTGATAGGGTTTGGCTCTGTGTTCCTGCTCAAATCTCGTGTCAAATCATAACCTCAATGTTGGAGGTGGGGCCTGGTGGGAGGTGGTTGGATGGTGGGGGTGGATCCTTCATGAATGGTTTAGCACCGTCCCCTTGGTGCTATCCCCGCAATAGAGTTCTCATGAGCTCTGGTTGTTTAAAAGTGTGTAGCACTTCCCCTCTCTCTTTCTCGTGCTCTGGACATGTGAATTGCCTAGCTCCCCCTTCACCTTCCGCCATGATTGTAAGCTTCCTGAGGCCTCCCCAGCAGCTGAGCAGATGCTAGCATCATGCTTCCTGTACAGCCTGCAGTGCATGAGCCAATTAAACCTCTTTTTTTTTTTTTATAAATTACCCAGTATGAGGTATTTCTTTATAGCAGTATGAGAACTAATAGAGAATTTTTGATGGAGTCAAAAACTGCAAGAGAAGTTTAGGAAAACAGCTAGAAATGGAAACTCATCTGAACATTGTGACCTTCTATGGTGTTAGTGGAGATAAGACTGGATCAGGGAGAACCTTAGATAGTAGGATTAGGAATCCGAACTTGGAAAAGGGGAAGCACTGATAGTCTTCGAGCAGGGTTGTGATACACACATTACCTCAGGAAGAATTATCTGGTTTTGTTCTACAGAATTTTGTGTAAGTCAGAAGATACAGCCAGCAAGAATTCGCTCAGGCGGTTGTTGTAATATCTTTACATGAGGATGCAAAGGAAGAAGTGGACATGAGTCTTGGGCCATTCATGGGACAGGGCAACTTGTAAATGTAGGTGGAATAGAAGGATGGCTTTGATGGGAAGAGATGAAATGAATAACAATACTTGGGAAATTTGAGGAATGGGAGCTTGTTTTGTGGGTAAAGTAATGGGCCCCATCTTGGATATGAGGTGCTGAGGGGCAGAAACGGAAATATGGAGTAGGCGATTGGAAATGTTGGCTTCATCTTCAAGATGGGGTTGGTTGGGAGTCATCCCATACAGGTGGATAGAGAGCCAAGTAAGAGCTCAGCTCTCTGAGGGAGTGTGTACAGTGGAGGATGCCGGAAGGAGAACCCAGGAGACAAAGGTATTCCAGAACTGGGAGAGGGACAAGAGATAGGAAAATGTAGTAGGCAGGGTAGTGAGAGTGGCAGGATGGATGTTGTACCAGAGGAGTCAAGTTAGGGAGCTATTTCCAGAAAAAGAAAGAGCCAGGAATGTTGCATGCCACAGAAAGGTCAAGAAATACTCGAAAAACCACTGGATTTGGTGACCACATCTCAAGGTCATGGGCGACCCTGAGAGAGCTGTTTAGTGTGTGTTCTTCTCTTGAGGAGTTTCATATTGAAAGAAAAGAGGAGAGAAAATGGGAGATTGAAATTTGTGGCTTGTTTTAAAGTGGATTAATTCTTCAGTGCCAGAAGACCACAAAGAACTTGGTCTGAGAATATATCCTGATTTCTCCCCAAGACTTTTCTTAAGAAAAAGCAAGTTGAAAGAGGAACACCCTTTAGTTTCGTTCTCTCTTGATTTCAGGATTCGGTTTTTGGTCAGTTGTTTGTGTCTGACTCCACTTTTGGCCCTGTCGTGGGGCCGCTCCTGGCAACCTGGGAGGTCACGCACAAGTGTGTGCAGTTGTTAAGCAACTGCTCGCAGTCGCGGTGGCCCTGCTAAATTGGGAACATGTATTCGTCCCAGTCTGAGTCTTCATTCAGTGGGAAACAATGAGTCCCTGACTTTGAAATCTCAGAGGTTACACATTTGTGGAATATGAAATCAGTGTGTTGATGATTTTTCCTACCTCATAGAATTCTTTAAAAATAACACTGGAGAATTGCTATGCAATTCTGTGAAAATTTAGTTCTCTCTAGGGCCTTTTCTAGAAAAAACGTTATGCCCAAATCCCAAAAGGAACTGAGTATTTTATATCAATGCTTTCTAAGATAAATAAAAACAGAACACACACACACACACACACACACACACACACACACACACACACACACACAACGCAGCAACAACAGCAAAAGTCAATAAAACAACTCACCAAACTAACTCTAGAGTTTCAGATGGAAATGATGTTATCAGTCCAAATTAAAGACATATTCTCTTATTTTCTTTTACACCTTGGTTTGTGGCTTCCATAATACAATCATCTGAGTCTTGTATGGTTTCTGAAATGGATGCTAGAAGAGATAACTTGAATGAGTACTTTTCCCCTGGTGGAATTCTCTTCCTCATCTATATTTAAACAGTTGTTTTGCACCTAAAGGGCCCTAAGTTACGTTTCTCTGGAGATATTTAGAGATAAGAAGTGTTGTAAGTACTCTTTCACATTTGTGCAGAACTTTAGTCTTTGAAGTGTTTAGACATCCATTAATCTTTTTTTTTTTTTTTTTTTTTTTTTGAGACAGGGTTTCCCTCTGCTGCCCAGACTGGAATTCAGCAGTGCAATCTCAGCTCACTGCAACCTTTATCTCCTGGGCTCAAGTGATCCTCCCTCCTCAGCCTCCCAAGTAGCTGGCACTACAGGCCTGCACCACCATGCCTGGCTAATTTTTGTATTTTTTGTAGAGACAGGGTTTTGCCATGTCACCCAGGCTGGTCTCAAACAATCTACCCACCCTTGCCTCCAAAAGTGCTGGGATTACAGACGTGAGCCACTGTGCCCAGCATCCTTAATCTCATTCTACCTCACTTTCTGCCTATTGAGAGATAGGCACCCCAAGTAGGAAGTCCAAATGCTGATAAAGAAATTGGGATTCAGAGTGACTTACTAACTAGCCCCAGATCACACAGCTTATTAGAGGCAGATTCAGGGCTAAAGGTCAGATTTTCCAGCTGCAGATTTATTCTGCTTTGAGTGGCATTTTAGACATTAGTGTTTTCTTTAATCCTTAAGCATTTCAGTGTCTAAGGTTTGTATAACATCAGGTTGGTTTCTGGTAGTACGTTGATTGTGGAGAGGGCCCAGAAGCAGAAACCACAGTCTTTACATGATAGTTACTCTTATCTGAGGTTTGGCCTTTATTGAATGGAAGTCTCTTGTTAAAGAAGGGTATGCATTGAGGCAAGAGTCTTGCCAACTTTTCAAAAAAAAAATGGGAACCCCTGGGCTCCTTGGGGATGGCTAATGACAATGATTATGGAGGAGGCTGCAAATGTGAAGTACTTTATAAATCCTGGAGGTGTGGCAGTAGACTGTGTGTTTCTGGGGAGACAGATTTTTGCATACATTATCCTCTGGACACTTCTGCCTTTGGTGCATGCTTGTTTTTATAAAAAAGCTTGTTTTGTTCCTCCTGTAGAAATGAGCCTATCATCTAGAGTCATGGTGGTTTTCTGTATGTGTGAGCTTATGCTTCAGTTACACTGAACACTCGTACTACTGCAAAATCGAATTCAGTGACATTGCCAATATCTTCGCTCTCAGTAGTCTTTAAATATTCTTAGCCCTGGGAACTGGCCCAAGAAACTGCTTATTCTTTTCCCTGTATCACTTAGCATATAAATCCTGAATTACTGCTGACTGAAGATACATAAAGTACAAATCAATAAGTATTTTGTTTCTATATTTTGGAGAATGAGACAATGAGTGAAAGAGAACCCCTCAATGAGGGCTTTAAAATATTGTCATTGTTCTATGGATTAGTAGAGCTGCGGCTACTATTTTACTTACCCACTGGCCACCAGGTACTCACACTGCAGTGAAAGGATTCCTAAAAACATCTTTATTAAGATATTCACATACTATACAATCCACCCATGCAAAATTTACCATTCGACGTTGTTGGTATATTATTACTTTGTAAAAATCATGGCCCTATGCACAACATACAACTTGCCACTTTAATCATTCTTAATGTACGGTTCGGTGGCACTAATTATGCTCACAGTTTTGTGCAACTGTCACTGCTACCTATTTCCAAAACTTTTTCATCATCCCAAACAGAAACTGTGTACTTATTAATCAACACCTCCCCGTGAAAGAATTTTTAAACATACCTTGATTATTAGCTTTGGATGTATATAAAACCTTTAAGGAAGATTTTGTTTAGTCTGTTTTTTTTCAGGGAAAGTTTATTTTTTAAGGGGCAGTTCCATACAGTAGGTGACACAGGTTAGGTTCCTCCAGAAAGCAGCCTCTTATAGTAGCATGTGGGACATTGCCAGAGTCTCAGGAGCAACACTTCTAGGGGATGGGGGAAGGGATGGAGGGAGGACTGGGTAAAAGGAGAACGTGTACTGTGTTGTCATTGGAAGGCCTCACCCTACCCAGTGGAACTCTGGAACTGGCATTTCCCAAGTTGGGGCAACAGGGATGGATCTTTGTACCATATCATTCAGTCATAGGGTTCAGCTCCCAGGACGGCGCATGAGCTTGGACAAATTCTCTCCAGCCAAGGGTCAGAGAAGGTTGACAGCTGAGAGCTAAGAGCCAGCAGCTGAGGGGTGAAATGCTCAGTCCATACTTTGCCAAACTTTGCTCTCCACTGGAATCACCTTTGCATCCTCAAAAATACTACGCCTGATTTAATTGGTATGGGGTAAGAGACAAGTGGAATGCTTCCAAAGCTCCCCAGGAGGTTTGAATGGGCAACACAGATTGGGAATGGCTGCTTTCAGTCTTGAAGGGGAGTCAGCATAGTATACATCATCATGGGAAATGCCTGGACTTTGGATTGAAAAAAAGTTGAACTTGGCTCAACCATTTACTGACGTTGTAGTTCTTATTTATGTTCTGTTAAGATTTTGCTACTAGGCTTTAAAAAATATGAATGGATGGTGCACCTGGGTGGCTGAGAGGGCACTTACAAATTAAAACAAAAACAGTGAACACCTCCAGAATTTGATAGAACACAAGAATGCATAATTCATAAAGAAGAAATTCAAATGCTTTTTAACATTTGAAAATATAGTCTTAATAGCAACTGAAAGAATGAAAGTTAAAACTATATTTTGCTTATTATATTAGCAAAGATGAAAAATAATTGCTATTGCTCAGTAATGGTGAAGGTAGTGGCAGAAGACACTCTCAAGCTCAGCACAGTGGTTCATGCCTGTAATCCCAACATTTTGGGAGGCCAAGGTGGGTGGATTTCTTGAGCTCAGGAGTTCAAGACCAGCCTGGGCAACATGGTAAAACCCTGTCTCTACAAAAATTAGCCAGGCATGGTGGCATACACCTGTGGTCCCAGCTACTCAGGTGGCTGAGGTGAGAGAATCACTTGACCCCCAGGAGGTGGAGCTTGCAGTGAGCTGAGATCATGCCACTGCACTCCAGCCTGGGTGACAGAGCAAGACCCTGTCTCAAAGTAAATAAATAAATAAATAAAACAAACATAAAAGAAGGCATTCTGATCCTCTTGGTATGTCCATTGGTGTAACACGAATGGTGGACCATTTGGCCTCCATTCATGTGTCTACCAATGCAATGTAGATAAAAATTCATAAAAAGCGAATGCCTTTTGACATAACAAATCTAATTCTAGAAGTTTATCCTGAGGAAATAACAGAAGAGTATGTAAAAATGTGTGCATAAGTTGTAATTGCCTGGGTCTTGCTGGCAATTAGGAGAAGCACAAATGGTCATTAATAAAATATTGGTTAAATAAGTTCTGGTACATACCTATGTACTTCTAATGAGAGAAGCCATTAATAAAATAGTGTGAGCCTATTTTTGCATTAAAACATTTGCATTGAAAAATGACTTTGAGAAAAATATCAGATGTTAATGGTAAACAGTGTTTTTCCCCCTGAGTATAAGAATTATGGGTGAATTTTATTGTCTAACTCATATCTCTTTATAATATTTATACTTAGAAAGTATTACATGTTATTTAATTATGTGTTAATTTTATATTCATAAAGAGCATAGAGCTATTTCCAAAAATTACATATTTCCAAGATTACACACCTGCATATCTCTATCTATCTATCTATCTATCTATCTATATCTCCCTATTCATTCAGCAACCTAAAATGAAACAGCCTATAATCCAATTAGTAGTTATCCCTAGAATTTGAGGTCACGGGTGATTTTTATTTTCTTTCTTGTGCTTATTTATACTTTACAGATTTTTATAATGAGATCATATCTCTCTTATAATGAGAAATGTTTTAAAAAAGCTTTTAATATCTCAGTGCACTTGCCTGACCTATTTTATATCCATTCTTGCATCTATTTCATTTGAAGGGTCCTTTGGATAGCATTTCTTTCTCCATGTCTTTCTTCCTGCTGTCCTATTTAAATAATCACAATTCTGTGTTGAAATTTTTGTATGCTTTACCTAATTAGGACAAATATTCTGACTCTTGCATTTGTTATCAAGATGTACATTTTTACTTTATTCATTATTGTTTTTTTTTTCTTAAGCAAAGTTTGGCCTTTAGATGATGCATTTCCAAGCCTAGCATCCATCATCTACCATTATGCTTTTGACTCATCTATTAAATAGTAATGTGTCCTCCAAAAATATTGATGTTAAATTAAATGACTCTATATTTGTCCTTGGAAAAAGCTTTGAGGCTATAAAATTTACCAAGCAGGTAGGACATGCAAAAAGAGAAATGCATGCAAATGCTTCCTATAGGCAGGAGCTCTTCAATGTGTCTGACAAATCTCATCTATCCTTTAGGTCCTAAATTAAACATCACTTCTCTGTGATGCCCACCTTGACTTTCCCAGGGTAAGCTGGTGCTGACTTCTCCTTATGTTTATTATGCCTCTTATTAAATCTTATTTTAAGTAGTTATTGATGTCTACCAATGCATTAGACCACCAGATAGGAAATATGGTTGCCATCCACCAACACTCTTCCAACAGTCCCTACCTCCTCATATTCAAGCCCCTGACAAATAGATGATGACAGACGCGACCATATGTCACTTCCAAGATTAGGTTTTGAAAGACAGAGGTTTCCGTGTTGGGCTGTTTCTCTTGGCCCACTAACCTATGGAAAGCTAGCTGTTGTGACGATAGGCAATGTATGCAGAGAGGCTCATGTGGCAAGAGCTAATAAAAAATGGAAGCTGGCCACACACATGTGAGTGAGCTTTGAAGCAGATCCTCCCCCTTGTCAAGCCTTCAGGTATTACAGGCCTGGCCATCAGCTTGATTGCAAACTCATAAGAAACTCTGAGTCAAAACCGTCCGTCTAAATGGCTCCCAATTCCTGACCTTCAGAAAATACGTGAAACAATAAATTCTTGTTGTTTTCAGTTTTGAGTTTTAGGATAGTTTATTATGCATCAGTAGATAACTAATCCACATTGGTACTAGAGGTGCAGTGCTTATGTAACAAGAAACTAAAATGTGATAGGACTTTGAACGAGGCAGCGGGCTGTGGAAAAGCTGTAAGGATTAAGGACCATGTTAGTAAAAGTGTAAAGTGCCTTGAACACACTGTCCATAGAAGTTTGGACTTTGAGGAGGCTGCCATTGAAGGCTTCAAGGAAAATGGGAGAAATCCTATTGGAAACTGGAAAACAGAGAATCTTTGTTACGTAGTGGCAAAAAAAAGAAAGAAAAATTAACAACACTGTCACCTGCAGTAATGTAGAAAGTAGAAAATGTGCCTGATAAACTGGTGATATAGTTAAGGAGATTTCTAACCAGAGTGCTGAAAGTGCTTTCTGATTTTTTTTTTTTCCTGTTGCTTAGAGTAAAACTGCAAGAAGAGAGGAGAAACTGAAGGTAAAACTATTAAATAAAAAAGAGCCAGGACTTGCTGGTTTTAAAGATTCCCAGCCTCCCCACATGGTACGTGATGCTAAAATTAAGAAATGGCATCTGAGCAAAGACCAAATTCAGGGCACTTTTAGGAAAACAAGGTCCAAACATTAAGCCAAGGATGCGACTATAAAGTCTTTTCTTAACATCTCAGTAAACAAAGATAGTGTCTCAGAATACTGTTTAGTCAGAAAAACCTAAAGATACTAAGACAAGCTTGTCCAACCCTTGGCCCGCCGGCTGCGTGCAACCCAGGATGGCTTTGAACGTGGCCCAACACAAATTTGTAAACTTTCTCAAAACATTATGCGTGGACCTTTATTTTTATTTTTATTTTTTAGCTCATCAGCTATTGTTAGTATATTTTATGTGCGGACCAAGACAGTTCTTCTTCCTATGTATCTCAGGGAAGCCAAAAGATTAGACACCCTTGGACGAAGGGCTTGCCTTACAGATCCTCTCTATCAACCAGTAGTGCTCCCTGGAAGCTCACAGACATTGTACCTCAGTCCAAGCTCAAGAAGGACCTGTTTCAAAGAGATTTGTGGGTGTGGCTTTTGTGTAGTGGAATTAAGCCTAAAGGGATTCCCAGAAGACCCATGGAGTTGAAAGGGGGTTGTGCTTGAAGAAACACCATCAGCTGGAAAGAAAAGAGACATAAAGAGTACAAAATGCAGAGAGGCCTTTGGACCACCAAGTGTCAACAAGTAAAAAGCAGACTGAGAAAACTAACTCCCCAAGCACATGTTACCTTTCATGAAAATGAAAGGATGCCTGAGAGGGCACACTCAAGATTTCAAAGGGTGAGACTAAAGCCATAGAGAAATATTCCTAGGCCTTAATTAGAGACCAAATCAAGGAGCTTCCATCATTTGCTTGCCTGGATTTCAGAACTACTATCCTTGCATACTTCCCATTTTCCCCTTTGTGAGTTGGAGTGTCTATGGCAGTTATCCTCTCCTTATCCTGCCCTTGCATGTTGGGTGCATGGGGCCAGATAACTTGTTTCTTTATTTGCACATGCCTCTATATCAAGAAGAACCACATTCAATTGTTGTATGTCAGAGACTACACCCAAGAAGGCTGATTTAGATGATGAGGGTCTGGACTTGGAACTGATGCTCTGTTGGGATGAGACTTTTGGGGACAGTAGGAGGGGTGGGAGTCCTTGGGAGCCAAAGGGTGTCCTGTGTTAGGCAGCCTCCAAGATGGCTCCCTTTGATCTCTGACTCCTGGACTCACAGAGTTGTTAATCCCCTCCCCATCCCACATTGTACTAGGGTTGGCCTGTGTGACCAATTGCAAATGGCATAAGTGATGGTATGTCGCTCTCAATATTAGTTTATTAAAGACTGAAGCTTCCATTTTGGTCCTGCTCTAATCCCGTGCTTTCCTGGATCCCTCACGGTGGGGAAAGCCAGCTGCCATAAGTTGAGGACATTCAGGCAGTCTGGTGGAGGCCCACATGGTGAAGCAGTTCCAGCCAATAGCCATGTGACCCTCTAGTTCCAATCAAGGCTTCAGATGATGCAGACCAGATTGACAGTTTGACTGTAACCTCATGAGATACTATGTAGAAAAAAACTGCTGTAGGCCTTAGACTTCTGTACTTACAAAGACTTCTTGCAAAATTGGCTTGGCTGGCATCCAGGAATTTGGATTTAGGGGAGGCCTGACACCATTTCCTAATGGATAAGAGTGGTTCACTGTGCCTAAACTGTAAACAATATTATTTATGCTGAGCACTTGCTTTCCATATGGGAGTCTTGGATTTTTATATGTGCTAGGCAGAGGGTGTGTAATGAGCAACCCTCAGTAAAAACCTTGGGCCAGGAGTGCTGGCTTACGCCTATAATCCCAGTGACTCAGGAGGCTGAGGCAGGAGGGTAGCTTGAGGCTGGGAGTTCAAGAACAACCTGGGCAACAGAGCAAGATGCCATTTCTGAAAACAGAAAATTAGCCACGCATGGTAGTGTGCACCTGTAGTCCTAGATACTCGGGAAGCTGAAGTGGGAAGATTGAGCCCAGGAAGTCAAGGCTGCAGTGAGCCATTAACTGTGCCACTGAACTCCCGCCTAGGTGACAGAGTGAGACCCCCCACCCCAAACTCTAAAAAAAAACAGACAAAAACATTGAGCACTAAGTCTGTGATAAGCTTCCCTGGTAGACAGCATTTTCCACTTGTCACAATACGATGCTGGAGGAATTAAGCCCATGCTGTGTGATTCCACAGCGAGAGAACTCTTGGAAACTTGCATTTGGTTCCTTGTCTGGCAAAGAGAAAAGGTGCTGATTTTGCTTTATATTCTTTTGCTATAATAAATCCTAGCTATGAATAATATTATATGAGTCCTGTGAATCCTCTTAGCCATCACTGAATCTGGGGGTGGTCTTGAGGACCTCCAACCCAGAGCTCCTGAGCTAGGAGCACCTAGATCTTCCTAGACCCTCAGAAACCATAGGATAATAAATATTTGTTATGTTGAGGCACTGAGTTTTGGAGTAGTTTGCTTCACAGCAATAGGTAACTAATTCTGGAAGCCAGTCATTTCTCTCTTCCCAGCATTTAGTTTAGTGTCTTGGAACATAGGTGTTAAAGAAATATTTGTTGAGTGACTTGACACTATTTCTGCCTTTGAAGAAGTTCATAGTCCATTTGGTTCCTTTGCTGGAGGAATCTAAATCCTGGCTTGGTATTATGAAGCAGGCTTACTCTCTTTTTTCTGTGGCCTAGAAGAATCAATCGCAGTGGCAGCAGCCTGCCTTAACGTTGTCAGGTTCTGCCATCTTCCCTGTTGAATGAGATCCATGGGTATAAGAATTAGTGTATGACCATGCCTCTTCTCTTTTACTCACTTCTTAGGTCCTTTGATTTTTATTTTCTCTCCCTTCTATGTCATGGCAGTGGTAGCTATTCTTACTATTGAAATAAAAACTTCTTCCTGCTGAAAAATTAATTACCAAATGTTTCAGGGCCTTATAAGATATTAATATTTCCATATCGAGTCTTGCCTCTTACTCTATCATATGATTGCCTTGAGGAAAGTTCAGACAAATTAACTTTCCATTTTACATTGCACCCCACTTTCCCAGCTTCTGCAAACTGTCTTGAAATAGACTTTATAGAAAGATAGGAACCATTTCCACTAAAATGAGTTTAATGTAGGGAAAAAACTCAAAGTATACACTGAAAGTAGACTTCTTTGAGTCATTTACAGTTAAAAATTATTTTAATCTAAAGGTGTATTTGAGTGTGTGCACAGGTATACACATAGACCGCCCCCCACCCCATACTCATTCCTGTGGCACACTTCTTGCTAGTTGTTGGCACTGTTAAATAAAAATTACAGGGGGCCATCGTTTTGGACTAAGCTTCTGCACTTGGCCCCAACAAACCAGATTGAAAATCAAAATGGAGTCACTCATGCTAAAGTTCCATGTCACCTTCCAATAAATCAGGGGAGGAAGATAACAATCTAATTTTCCAAACAGGGCAGTTTCAATCTTCAATCAGCCTGATGAAGTTCTCTCTGCTTTAATCCTTACAACAAAAAGTAACCTGAAGGAACGTGATGTTAACTAGATATTTTTTTCTCTATTGTTCTGTTTTCCTGTTCCTGGATTACAAAGAAAGTAACTATGCAATGACCAATTGCTTTTGTTCTGTGTTTCTGCTTTCTCTAGCCCTTTTCTGCTTACAAAGCCAACCATCTCTGCCCACTCATTGCAGCACTTATTAATGGCAAAACCGCAATACTTTTGCACCAAAATATTTAATGGAATGAAGTGTTGTTCTATTCTAAAATTGCAAATAAAGCTACTTGAGCTCCTGAAAGTAAATTTGTTGTAATTTTGTCCTTTGACAGATCCTTTTCCTCCTCTTTGAGTCTCCTTCCGGTTCAGCAGATGACCTTGGTTATGAGTTTCATGAGAATCCCAGGGTGATCTAATAGAAGCTCTCTCATTTATCTTCTTTCCATCTAATTTTTTACAATTTTTATTGTTTTTTCTTGTGTCAGAGAATCATCTACCTTTGTTTCAAAGGGTTCTAGTCCTGCTTTCAATCCCATATACTTGGGCCTGATGGATCTTTCGAAAGTGAAATTGTGGCCTCATGATGGCATCATTTGAAAGCCTCCGATGACTGTTTCCCGAGGAGGGTGAACTTTCTCTCCTTACCTGCTCTTGCTTTCCTGCCTCCATTTTGCTCATGGCATTCCCTTGAATTAGGTTCTATGAGTGGAATACAGCTTTGAAGGCAATTCCAGAGATCCAACAAAAACCCAGGAGATTGGAAGGAATTCATATTTGTCAAAAAATGTGTAGCTCAAAAATATAAAAAAAAAAAATAATGCAAATAAAACCCAATAGAGTATAACAACTATTTACATAGCATTTATATTGTATTAGGTATTATAACTGATCTACAGATGATTTAAAGTATAGAGGAGGGTGGCATAGGTTATATGAAAATACTACACCACTTTATATTAATATAAGAGACTTGAGCATCTGCAGATTTTGGTATCCTCTGGGGGGGTACTGGAGGCAATCTTCCTGGGATACTGAGGGGTGACTGTAACTTATTTTCAGTACTTTGGTAATAGTGTATTTAACGGTCTATTGTTTCTCAGGGTTTGTGGATGATAGTCCATTAGGATCTGAAAATAAGATATTAGAAGTTCTATTTACTTTTTTTTGTTTTTCTGAAATTTTAAGTGTATATGAAGTTAAGGGAATACATGTAATTTTGAAATAATTAAATATTCATGTTTGGAAATCTGTTCAAATTTTTGGGTGGCTGGGAACACAACCAAAAAGATATGAAAACCAATAACAATTATGTATCAGTAGGCATTTTATAAATAGTCTTTGATATTATTTTGGATATAAGTGATTTGATTGGCACTTCTCATTTAATTGCTTATTAGGTGGGTTTCTGTTTTGTAGAGAACATTTAAAAAAAATTTAGACAAGCAAAAGTTAATAAAATCACCTGTGGTATGACCACTCAGAGGTAAGTATAATGAATGTTTTATTGTATCTTCTTTGCAGCTAGTTTTCTATACACATAGACATGATTTTCTTCTAAAAAAGGAAAGATCATGATGTATTTATAATTTGTAAAACTTTTATACCTTGCTCTTTGAACTTTAAAGAATGTCATGAACATTTCCTTAGATACTAAACTCTTTCCCCATATATTTTAATGGCCTTATTATATGAACATATAAAAATAATTTATTTTGATACCTTAATTCATGTGCTGTTGGATTTTTAGGCTCTTGCACCATTTTCCCCACTTCTCTGCTTGCTGTTATAAACAGTTCTGAAAACCAGATGCTGTTAGCCACACCATACATATCTGTGATGTTTCCTGACAAGATTCCTAAAAGTAGCACCTTCCTTTCATAGGTGAGGTTTTACCTCTACCTTTGTTGTCTGTCTCTAAGGCAAAGGCAATTTTGTGTAATGGTGAAGAACTCAGGACAGAATTTGAATTGTGCCTCAACCAGTTACTACTGTGTGACTCTGGGCTAGTTGTGAACCTCTCTATTCCTCATTTCCCCTCATCTGTAAACTGGGGGAAACACTAATACCAACATTGCTGGGTGGTTGTGAGCAAACAATAAACAAATAATAGTGTAAGCAAACAATAAATTTTAGCAATTGTTTATAAGGTATTTCTCTTGTCAAGTAAGCCAAGTTAATCATCTAATGGCTCCTATAAAATAAAGCATAGGGCCAGGTGCAGTGGCTCATGCTTGTAATCCCAGCACTTTGGGAGGCTGACGTGGGCGGATCACCTGAGGTCAGGAGTTTGAGACCAGCCTGACCAACATGGTGAAACCCCATCTCTACTAAAAATACAAAAATTAGCTGGGTGTGGTGGTACGTGCCTGTAATGCCAACTACTCGGGAGGTTGAGGCAGGAGAATCTCTTGAACCTGGGAGGTGGGGGTTGCAGTGAGCCAAGATCACGCCACTGCACTCCAGCCTAGGTGACAGAACAAGACTCCGTCTCCAAAAAAAAAAAAAAAAAAAAAAACAACAACAACCATAAAATAAAGCATAGTTATAGTATTCAGTAAGGTGAATGACACATTAATGACTCCATTTTCCATTTGATCAGTTCTTACATCCAGGAACCATGAACACAGCTATCTCAACATATGGTAGTTTATAGGGATAGTCTGTAATCTTGCAAATTTAAAAGGTAAATAGGAGTCCTTCAGTAGGCAGATTCATATATTGACAAATGAAGGAAGAATTAGTCTTGTTAGAAGAAACTTGCCATTTCGTTTGTGAACAATGTAGTTAATTTATCACAGGCTCAGTGAGGGCAAGGATGGAGCTATTTCACTTTACTATTTGTGTACAGATCCAGCTCTTGGGCCGTGGTAGGCACTCAGTGAATATTTGTGAAATACATAAATATTCATGAGCAAATATATCTATACTTTGTTGAATGTATTGCAATGTATGTTGTAAACATAATGAAGGCTTTGTGTGATGAACCGACAATTGACAATGAAATTATTGTCTGCAAAGTGGGCTGGGGCCTTCAGGCTTTTCTCCTGATTATAGATTCAGAAATAATGCAAGAGGCTGTTGCTCAAAGTGAATCCCTTACTCCGTGCTGGTCGTGTTCTTTAATTCATGTGCTGTTCCCTTGTGTGTGCTCAGTCCTTATTGCAGCTGCTGGGTCTGAGCTCACTGTGAAAATCGTGTTTCCTTTCTGCCGACCCATAGGGCTCAGTGTTTGATTAATAAGTTTCCCATTTTCTGAGAAAAATACCTAGGTAAATCCCCCTTGGACAGCACAAGGATCTGCAGTAATTTACAACCACCGTGTGAGCCTTGTGTTGAATGACATGCTCTTTGTAAGGATATGGCATAATTTATAATGCTGGCCCCAACGTCCACTCCTAGGGCGTTCTCAGTGCAGTGCCTTGACTCTGATATTGGATAATGTTGACAGTTAAGAGAGGAATGACTTTAGTTGCTGCTGCTGAATTAAAAAAGTCAGACACACAGTCTAAATGGATTTTGCTGTCTTCAAAGTAGTGACCTTGGGATAGATAGAACTCTTTGATGCTTCCATTGATGTTGCTATTGCCCCAAACATTTCCGGAATCCTTTAAAAATTACCTTTAAAGCATGTGGCACATTCTTGTGAATATTTTTGAGTCTAACAAATACTCATTCTTTGTATGAGGCTTTGATTTTTGGAAAGAGTGAAGAGTCACTGGCATCAAGTGCAACAACTGAGGTGGGTGATGAGGGCAGAGAGTGCTGGTTTTGTTTAGGGCAACATATGGTTTTAGAGGCCTTTTAATAATGTCATGAGACTTGAGCATTTGTTCTAAACATGATTTCCTTTTAAAATAATGTTTGAAATGATGAAATAGTCCAAGCCTACAGAACACAACATTACATGCCAGATAGGCACGTTCCCAGCATGGATGTTAAACAGATGTTAACGTGCTGTGTTTGTTTGCGTGTGTTCTTTCATCTTGCTCTCCTTCCCTGTTTTTTCTTTGAAAGACAGTGTTTTAGATATTCCTAAACACCCCCCGCTTCCCTCCATACCCGTCTGCCTTCTCCCCTTTTTCCATCAATATTCATACTTCTGCCAATGTTGCCATGCTTCATTCCCAGGTGTGCTTGTACCTTTTGAGGAAATGTTTAGAAATTTAAAGGAATTATCTTGTGTGTGTCCTTCTAACATTGTCTTTGAGGTTTATCCATGTTGATTTGTTTTAACTGCTGTTTTAGTCCATTTGTGTTGCTATAAAGGAATACCCGAGACTGGGTAATTAATAAAGAAAAGAAGTTCATTTGGTTCCTGGTTCTTCAGGCTGTACAGGAAGCATGGTGCCAGCATCTGCTTCTGCTGAGGGCTCCCAGCTGCTTCCACTCATGGAGGAAGGTGAGGGGAAACCAGTGTGAGCAGATCACATTTCAGGAGGGGAGGAGAGAAAGAGAGAGAAAGGGAGGTGCCAGGCTCCTTTCAACAACCAGCTCTTGAGGGAACTAGTGGAGTGAATTAACTCATTACTGCAAGGGCAGCACCAAGCCATTCATGAGGAATCCGCCATTATGGCCCAAACACCTCCCATCAGTTCCAACCTCCAACATTGGGGATCAAATTTCAACATGAGATTTGGAGAGGACAAGCAAACCAAACTATAGCAACTGCTCCATAGGATTCCAGTATATACGAATAAATCAAGAGTCTTCATCTGTTCACCTGAGAGAAAGTTCAGATGCTTTCACCTTTTTTGTTATTACAAATAGTGATACAGTAGTAACTGTGTGCATATCTATCTAGAAATATGTACTAGAGGTTGTCTAGAGCCAGTACTCAGAGGAAAAATGGCTAGGTTCTAGAACGTGCACATTTTAACTTAGTGGACATTACCAAATTGCTCTCCAAAGCAGTTGTAATTATGCTTCCATTGGTGGTTTCCCATATCCTCTTAGTTATCAGATTTTTAATTTTTGCTAATCCGATTGGCACAGAATTGTATCTCATTGTTTTATATTGCATTTCTCTGCGTTCTAGTGTGATTGAGTGTCTCTTCTGTACTCAGTGGCCGTCTGAGTTTCGTCTTTTGTGAATTGCCCATTTATATTCCTTGCTAGTCCTTCTATTGCCATTGGCCTTTTTATTAATGATTTATAAGAATCATTTATAATCTAGTATTCTTTGTCAGTTTAATGGGCCCCAAATATCTTTACTACTCTGTGGCTTATGTTTTGACTTTTTATGATGTCTCTAATTAAACAGCCGTGCTAAATTTTAATGTAATCATATTTATCCATTTCTCCTTTGTGGCTTGTACTTTTTTATGTGTTTTTAAAAAGAAATACTGCTCTATCCCAATGTCATAAGAATAATTTCCTATACATTCTTTTAAAGTTTTCAAATGTAGTGTTTCACAGACACTTAGAATTGATTTTTGTGTATATGTAACATTGGAATCCACTTTTATCTTTTTCCATATGGATGTCCAGTTGTCTCAGTTACATGTATCAAATCTTTTCCCACTGTCATACACCACATTCCCAAACACGTGTGACTGTGTGTGGCTTCTGTTCTTTATTTTATTTTTATGTTTATTTTTATTTTTTGAAACGGAGTCTCGCACTGTTCCCCAGGCTGGAGTGCAGTGGCTTGATCTCAGCTCACTGCAAGTGCTGCCTCGCGGGTTCACGCCATTCTCCTGCCTCAGCCTCCAGAGTAGCTGGGACTACAGGTGCCTGCCACCACGCCCGGCTAATTTTTTGTATTTTTAGTAGAGATGGGGTTTCACCGTGTTAGCCAGGATTGTCTCAATCTCCTGACCTCGTGATCCGCCCTCCTCGGCCTCCCAAAATGCTGGAATTACAGGCGTGAGCCACCGCGCCCGACTGTTCTTTGTTAATGGTGTGTTTGCTTACTCTGGCTCTACCCTATTTTAATTACCTTGGTCTTATAGGTTTGGGTAGTTTAAGTTTCACTTCAGTTTTCTTTTTTGGAATTTTTTTTGGCTATTCTAAGCTCATTATACTTTAAACTGTATTTTAGGAATGTGGAAGCCCTATTGGGCTTTTGTTGGAATTACTCAGATGGTTTACAGATAAATCGTAAGAATTTGCTCTCTTATCCTGGGTCTTCTCATCTACAACTATGGTATAGCTATGTTTATTTAGTTCTCTTTTTAGGTCTTTCAGTAGAATTTTGTAATTTTTGCCATACTTTTCTTACATATCTTTGTTAAATGTCTTTGTAAGTATCTCATTTCTTTCTTTCATTTGTTCCTTTTTTTGAGATAAGATCTCCCAGGCTGGAGTGCAGTGGTACAATCATAGCTAACTGCAGCCTCAACCCTCCTGGGCTCAAGTGACCCTTGTGCCACAGCTTCTTTCTAAGTAGCTGTGACTACAGGTGCTCACCACCACATCCAGCTGATTTAAATTTTTTTATCCCACATTTTTTGTTGCTGTCAATGATATCTTTTTATTGTATCTTTTCCTATTATTGCTGGTGTATAGGAATGTTATTTTTGTATATCTTGCTGAACTCATTAATTTTCATGGTTTAGATACTCATACATTATGCAGACAGATAAAATCTTTTAATAATAATGACAGGTCTTTTCCTTTTCATGTTATGTGGCATTCACTTCTTTTTCTTGTCTTGATGTACTGACTTGGACTTTCATGATATCACCTGTTTTTGTTAATAAAGTTTTATTGAAACACAGCCACATCCATGTTGTCTGTGGTACCATTGTATTATAACATCAGAGTTGAATAGTTGCAACAGAGACTACCTAGTTTGCAAAGCCTAAATACCTGCCTTCAGGCTCTTTACAGAAAGTTTGCCTATCTTCACAAAACAGGGTTGAACAGAGGCAGTGATAGTAACCTTTCTTGTCTCATCCCTGGCTTTAAAAGGAGAGCTTGTGCCACCAAGAATAAGTGCTGCTTCTGGGTTGGTTGATGTGTGCCTTTTATTGGGTTAAGAAAATGTCTTTTTTTTTTCTTCAACTTTTATTTTAAGTTCCAGGGTACATGTGCAGGATGTGCAGGTTTGTTATATAGGTAAATGTGTGCCATGGTGGTTTGCTGCACACATCATCCTATCGCCTAGGTATTATGCCCAGCATCCATTAGCTATTCTTCCTGATGCTACCCCACACCTCACAGGCCCCAGTATGTGTTGCTTCCTCCCATGTGTCCATGTATTCTCATTGTTCAGCTCCCACTTATAAGTGAGAAAATACAGTGTTTGGTTTTCTTTTCTTGTGTTAGTCTGCTGAGGATGACGGCTTCCAGCTCCATCCATGTCCCTGCAAAGGACATGATCTCATTCCTTTTTATGGCTGCATAGTATTCCATGGTGTATATGTACCACACAAGAAAATGTCTTTCTTAGATTTGTAGGAAGTCTTTTCTTGTTTGTTTTGTTATTAAAAAAAATCATGATTGAATGTTGAATTTTATCAAATGTAGTTTTGGCATCTGATTATTTTTTCTCTCATTTTAAACATACGCAATTATATTCTTTTGAATTTTTCTATTATTTCTAGTCCTTGGGGCTAGAATCCGCCCCTTTGATGTGCTTTTATAACTTGTGATCTCAGTGGGTCTCATTTTTTCTGTAGGAATTGTCTGCAGCATGGATTGTGGGAATTTTGCTCTGGCATTTTCCCTGCCCATTCATTAGTCCAGGACCAATTTTTATGTGAATTTCTCAGATTGGGCATTTCCGGACCATATAGGAAGCCTAAATTTGTACCGCCAAAATGTTCCAGAGGCGGTGGTCTGGAGTTTAAACTTTGCAAGGGAAGGCTTTTATTCTCCTCCCTTGGAGACAGACAGAAACATACGAGTCTCTTTGTGGTTGCAGCTCTTTGAGGAGCCTCACTCAGGGCAGCAGCCTTCTACCTCGGGCAGAGCCCACAGACTTTGCCTGTTTCTCCTCTGTGCTAGTTGAAATCTAAATGCCTACTCCCCCTGGACCAATACTTGTTTCTCTCCTTCTCCCTCACCATGATCCTGTCACTCTCTAAGGGGAGTGAATTTATGCTTGCTTCTGGTTTTAGTTGTTGCTTTGTTTCTGGCACCTGGTAATTTCTTCTTTCTTATTGCAGGTTCAGCTATGAATTTAAAAATATATATAATATTTCCAGGTGCTTGTAGGAGGTGAGTGTGAATGTGTGTCTTCTCACCCTCTTGCTGAAATGAGAGGCTGCCCTCTAAATGAAATTTCAATATTGAAAAGATAAAACCCAAATAAAACAAAAAGCAACCCCCCAAATCAGCTCCCTAACCATGAGCCAGGCAGCACGTGAAGTCCTTTGATATTAGCTCATGCCATTCTTATAGAAACTCTGTAACTCTTTTTAAGTGGAGAAGTTAAGAAACTGGCCCAATCCCATGTCAGGGCAGAGCCAGGCCAAAAACCCCTCTGTTTTATTGGCTGTTACCTCATTTTACATGTCTGAACAGTAATAACAGTGGGTGTCAAGTGTACCTTTCCTAAAGGTAACTACTACAAAGGTCAACACTATTTTCCATCTAACACTCCTAATATATTTTTACACATTAGTCTCACCTGGTAATTCTAAGATAGAATAATGATCATGCTTGTCTGTGAGAATTAGCAATTTTTTTCATGGATTTAAGTTCAAGAAAAATCAGAAATTAGCAGTTCAGGAGTTTTCAACATTTGTAAAAAGGCAGATGGGTGCACCATTAGCACTTCCTTCTGAGTGAGGTAGATCTCCAGGGAATTAATAGGAACCCGTTGTTTTCCATGTTGGCAAGATATTAGAGAAATATGTCTTACTCTCAGGTTTACTAAGACATGTTTTAAAGATAATACTGTCATGCATGTGGCTTATGGAAGGCTATAGGGATGTGGATTTTTATATTCTCTCTAGATTTATTTGCCCATACTCTGAAATCAAGGCAGACGGTAAAGGTGGAGTCAGTGGTCATTCTGTTTTTTTGATTAGGGGTTTATAGATGGCTGACATTTTAATCTCAGTTAATGACTGGGGATGGACTCCAGGGTCCTTCACCACAGCTCACCCTTGTTTGTGATCTAATTTAGCAGCATCTTGATTTGAATTGAAAGACAGCCTTGGGAATATTAGCTCGGCCCTTGTGAGAGCATTCTGGAATGCTGCATATTACCTGATGCTACCTGAGATGTAGGTGGTTGGGCAGTGACAGCCTCTCTGAGCCCTGACCTGTCGGGGAGAGGTTGAGAAGTGGCAAAACTTTGATTCTACCAGCTGCAAAGACCGATGTCACCATGAAGTTATATTAATGACTTTGACAAGAATTTTCTCAGTGTACAGTAGGCATATTTGCTGAATGAGCTGATCTTGTAATCCCAGTATATCTGGAGTAGTCAATTATGAATTTTCTAATTAGCTTGATGTTTGGTCTCCCAGCTAAGTGAGCTCTTGTGAACTCTGCCAGAATCTGGATTTCCAAATTATCTGACAGGAGGAAAGGAAAGGATTGGGCCAAAGTGGCCATTGCAAGTCAGTTTCTTATAAGTCAAAAATTTAATCAGACCAAGTGCCTTTCTTTTCTGTGTTCAGAAAATACCCATTCTTTGTTTCTCACAACTGTTAACCTGTCCTAGGATGAACTGGTTCTGCCTCCCTTTGCTGTTTCCTGCATTAGTACTTGGAAAAGCCTGTGGCTGCATGGTCTGAGGTGTGACCTTCATGGTGGGCACACCTTGTCTCTCTTCTCTGCCCGAAAGGAGGCCACTGTTTTCTTGTCTCTGTAACTGCTCTGTGAATTCTTCTTCTTCCTGATGACTAAGTGTGACTATTCTCCAAGGTCTTTATCTTTTTGCAAGTTTTCTGAGATCTTCACCAATAAGCACGAATACTTACTGAATATGTTTTGTGTGCCAGGCACTTTTTAAAGCACTTTAATAACAATAACTAATGTTTATTAAGCATCTACTGTGTGCCAGGCACTGCTTTTGGTACAAAAGATGTGAAATAAACCACACAAAGACCATCCCTCTTGGAACCTATGTTTTATTGAGATCCAGCCAGGTGGTAGAACACATCAGTAAACAAACATAGACTTCAGCAGGTGGTGACATGTGCTCTGAAGGAGAAATGGAGTCCGAGTAGAGAGTGACTATGCATGATGAACTGGTCAAGGAAAGTCTGTCTGATAAGGGGGTATTTGAGAAGAGCACTTCTCCAAGGAAGTGGAGGAGCAAGCCCAGTTTGCTTCCAATTTCTTCCTCCTTGTGTCTTGCCAACTGGGACCAAGCATGCCTGGCGTGGAACAAACTCTTTCTGTTCTCTGCTGATGGAGCCATTTTCTCCCAGAGCCCAGGCTCTAGGTCTGAACCCTGATCCTTCTCTTCACTTTTCTTTTCTAATGGCCAGACGTCTTTGTCCTTCCTTTGAAATAGAAGTGACAGCAAAATCTTCTTTCCCACAGCCGTTGTGGATAGGAAGCCTCTGCCTGGCTGAGCACTTTGCTACTTTATTTCTGAATTCCTGTGCCAGCCTCCTCAATGATCTTAGCTGCTAGTCTTGCTCTTCTCACCCATCTGTGGCCACCAAAGCACTGGAACACGTAAGCCATCATTTGAGTGCTTACTCCATACCACACACTGGATCCTCACAACTTGCTGATGCTATTACAATATGTTTTTTTTCTTTTTTCCTTTTTCTAACTTTTTTTTTTTTTTTTTTTTTGAGATGGCGTTTCGCTCTTGTCACCTGGGCTGGAGTGCAATGGCACGATCTCAGCTCACTGCAAGCTCTGCCTCCTAGGTTCAAGCAATTCTCCTGCCTCAGCCTCCCGAGTAGCTGGAATTACAGGCGCCTGCCACCACACCTGGCTTATTTTTTTTTGTATTTTTATAGAGACGGGGTTTCACCATGTTGGCCAGGCTGGTCTCGAACTCCTGACCTCAGGTGAGCCACCCTCCTCGGCCTCCCATAGTGCTGGGATTACAGGTGTGGGCCACTGCGCCTGGCCTTTTTTTTTTAAAGTTTTATTTAGGTTCAGGGGTACATGTGAAGGTTTGCTATGTAGGTAAGCTCATGTCATGGGGAGTTGTTGTACAGATTATTTCATCAGCCAGGTGTATTAAGCCTAGTACCCAATAATTATTTTTTCTGCTCCTCTCCTTCTGCCACCCCCACCCTCAAGTAGACCCCAGTGTCTGCTGTTTCTTTTTGTTCATAAGTTCTTATCATTTAGCTCCCACTTATAAGAGAGAACATGCGGTATTTGGTTTTCTGTTCCTGTGTTAGTTTGCTAAGGAAAATAGCCTCCAGCTCCATCCATGTTCCCACAAGAGACATGATCTTGTTATTTTTTATGGCTGCATAGTATTTCATGATATATACGTACCACATTTTCTTTACCCGGTCTGTCATTAATGGGCATTTAGATTGACTCCACCATGTCTTTGCTATTGTGAAGAGTGCTGCAGTGAACATTCATGTGCATGTGTGTTTGTGGTAGAATGATTTCTATTCCTCTGGCTGTATACCCAGCAGTGGGATTGCTGGGTCGAATGATAGTTCTGCTTTTAGCTCTCTGAGGAATTGCCATACTGCTTTCCACAATGGTTGAACTAATTTGTTTTTCTTTTACAAAGTTTTTTTTCAAGACTAGTCAAGTACACTAGTGAGAAGGGAGAAAAAAGTAGAGCAAGGAGTTTGATCTGTAACTGACTGAACAATCAATGGAGATACCTCTTACCTTTGGACCAGTTGCTATTACAATTATGATTCCCATTTTGCAGAGAAGGAAACAGACTTTCCTATGGTCACTTGCTAATACAGGAGGTGGCTAAGCCAGGATTTGAACTCAGGTCCAATGGAATCCACAGGCTCCTTCCAGCCACCAGACCAAGCTTCACATACCCTGCTGTGGAGCACCATGGAGACCCTGGTTCGCTCTTTCACTCTTTGGCTGGCTCAGGATTCTTTCATGCTTCCTATTATCAGTGGGATAAAAGTCCAAATGTTCTGGAATAATATTTGAGATCTTTCATGCCTGGACCGTACTTCACCTGTCTTCTGGTTTTGTATCTGAGCTCCCTCCTGTAACAACCTTTGCTGAACATACTCAAATGTATCATGGAGGTAAACACAGCGATGCCTACGTTTATACAGTGAGTGCTTTTTCTTTCCCTTTACCTGAACTCACTCTTTCTTCATGCCCCAGCTCAGACTCCACCTCCTCTCTTACCTTCGTCTGTGTTCATCTATACTTCCAAACTCTCCTGTCAGTTAGAAGGCGTGTCCTGCCTGTTTCATGTCATTCCTAACATCAGAGGACATAGCTCTTAAAGATCTTATTACCAACTTGCCATTTCCATGAATTTCCTTAGCCCTTGATCCTAAACTATTGAGAAAGCTTACATATCCAAAATGAGTCTAACTTTTCTAAGCAATGGTCTTGGGAGATGTACATATTTCACTAGGGCTTCCTGGAGCTGGAAATATATTTGGTGGAGCTCCTTTTTCTAAATTGCCTTCCGGCTACCCAAGAAAGTCAATTTCCTTCTTTAATAGCTGTGACTCATTTTTGGACTGATGATGGCACTATTCCAGTTCAGTCACCTATCTGAGTCATCAGTAGGGACTCCATTTAAAATTTGACTCTTTCCCTAAATTGAATCAATTCTCAAGGGATTAAAACTAGATATTCACTAGAACATTCCCCAGGAAAATTTAGAAATCAGAGTTCTGAAAATGTTTGCTCAAAATGTCAAGGGGTGAAACTGAGAGAAGGCAACTGGAACGTTTCTCTTAATCCACTGTCCCTCACTTACCTGCTTGGCAGAAAGAAGGCGGGGGAAGGAAAGCATTAGAATAAAAAGAGAAATGTTCAGAGGCAGTTTGAGTCATGAGGAAACAGCTAAAACTTCCAAAACAGAAACTGAATGACATCCTCTTCCTAATTCAAGCCTTCCTCAGGGGAAAATTGAACAGAACATTTCACTTGATAAATGGAATGAGACCTGGTCCTGGAGTATTTGGAAAGATGAATGACAGGCAGGAGGAATACAGTGGAAGGGAATGCCATTTATTTACAAATGCATCTCCTCAGGTAAGGGAGGGGATTTCACAGAGAGAGGGAGGTGGAACCGCAGAGGGCTTGGTCCAAGTTAGAACATGAACTTACTCCTTGCTCTCGTTTCTGGGGGAGAAAGCCATGTATACCTCCAGCACTCAGAAGTGCTCGCGACAATGAGCTCATTGGGATTTGCTACTCAATTAGATTCTGCTTTGTACATGTAGCACTTAGCACTGTGTCTAGCACATAACGAGGACTCGGTAAATATTTGTTGAATGAATGAAAAATAATTGCTGCCTGGGAGAAGTTGAGAGGCTTTGTAATTCTGCCCTGTCATTTCTGGTAGTGACCACCAGGTGGTGCCTTCTTAAGAACAGGAGGAAATAAAATCACTCCAGTGAACACAGAAGGCTTGGGGTTGACTCAGAACCTTGCCCCTGTGCACACCGTCTAACAGTACATCACAATTTCTTGTTCCTAACGTTGAATGTGCACACAGGATTCAGATACGTGGCTGGCACTGACTTTCTTTACTTGAGTCAAGGTCAAGTAAGGTTTTCATCGTTGGCTGAGCTCTGGGATTTAAAACCAGTTCTATCCCAGGCCAAGTGGGTTTCTGTTGTTCCTGCTTATCCCCTGTCCTCCAGGAGAACACATGCTGCCCTTGCTTCCATATTTTCTCAGAAATTCGTCCCCAGCATCACTAATGGATTCATATCCAGCTCTTGCACTCACGGGTTGAAAAACTTGGTACCCCTGTGTATTTTAAGCAGCTACCTGATGAGTACCTATGTTGAAATAGGTTTCTGTGGTCGAAATTCTCAGAAAAGTCCCACAAGATGGGCATAAATGAACAAACTAGCTCAGCAGGCTTAGGTGGCTCTCCCAAAGTAACACAGATAAGTGAGTTGGCAGAGAGGATTCCAGCCCAGGACAGTCTGCCCTTAGGTTGTGCTGTGATCTCTATTCTGTTTTATGTGGAGTGAGTTTAATGTATCTGCATTAACGAGATCCAGGGACAAAAATATAACAAAATTCAAGGAATGTGAAGCAATGTCCTATAGAAGGAGGACAGTTCACTATCAGTGTGAGCCAACACACTCAGCTCTTGGCAGTTTTCAGACAGTTGCAAAGAAATACTTAGCCTGAGGCTTCTTCGTGCCCATAAACCTAATTAAGGGTACTAGAGATTCTGATTGGCAAGAGCTAGGGACAGAGAGGCTGAGTGAGACTATACGTGTCCCTATGTTTCTGTATATAAAGACAGAAAGAGGGAGTTTGAGAGAGCGAATGAGTTAAATCCTAAGTAGACCTGGAAAACTATCATTTTGCTAGGACTGGACTTAAGCAAAACAGCAGAGCAAAGTTCAGAGTTAAGCCAGAACTTTGCCTTGAACCTCAGGCCCATTGAGCCCTCTGCTCCAACAGGGCCAAATCAGCATCCAATAGTCCCCTTCAAGTTGTATCTGTCCCGTGTCTCGGTGTTTCTGGTTTCTGTTATTTGGTAGGTCACAATTAATTATACAGGGTTAACAAAAATAGATTAACATAATGTACTTGCCGAATAGTGTTTCTTTGGGAGAAAATGACTTAACTCACCTAAAATATCTCCAGGCATAAAAGATATTAATGTTGGGAATATCAGGAGTGATTAACCTCTGAGAGAGGTTGAAGGGAAGCAAAATTGGACAGGAAGGATAGGAGGAATGGAGATAGGGGATTTCGGGTGGGGAGAGCCTCTTAGAGTCTTTTATTTCAGACCTTACTCTGTGCCTTTCCATAGGGCCAAGTCTGATCATCCTCTTTTTATGGTCTGAATATCTTTGAGCCCTTCAGAAACTTTCAAATTAGTAATATACATGATTAATATTTTTGACACTTACATGTTAGGAACTAGACATTATTTCAGTAATCCTCAGAGGAGCCTTGAGTGGTAGATGCTATCATTCTTCCCCCTTTCTTTTAAATAATGAAATAGAGGTTTAGGAAGACCCAAAGCTAGTTGATGTCAGAGCCAAGATCCAAAGCCCATGTGTGGTTATAAAGCCGTGTTCTTACCACTATATTATGCTGTAAGAATAAAGGGACAAACCTCAAAATAAAAGCTTTCACTATCAGTAACACAGCAAAAAACAATTATTCATTCAATAATGAGCAGGATGAATAAAAACAGACAAACCTCATCACATGAAGTTGAACTTCAGAGAATAGTCGAATAAAAAGTTCCCTCAAACTTAGGAGAAACCTAAGGCTATGAAACTGATTGTTTCATAGCCTTGGTAATAAGTAGCCATCAGGGGCCGGGCATGGTGGCTCACACCTGTAATCCCAGCACTTTGGGAGGCCAAGGCAGGTGAATCACCTGAGGTCAGGAGTTCGAGACTAGCCTGGCTAACATGGTGAAACCCTGTCTCTGTTAAAAATATGAAAATTAGCCGGGCATGGTGGCACATGTCTGTAATCCCAGCTACTGAGGAGGCTGAGGCAGAAGAATCGCTTGAACCCAGGAGGCAGAGGTTGCAGTGAGCTGAGATTGTGCCACTGCACTCTAGCCTGGGTGACAGACAGAGACTCCATCTCAAAAAGAAAAAAAAAAGTAGCCATCAGAACCCATTTAAAATCTGTTCATTTGGTCAACAACAACTTGTCTTAGTGAAAGTTGGTTTTAAAACTGGCAGAACTGACCAGTGTCAAATCCTTACTTCAGCCCATCAGGGATGCAGTTTCCAGTAAACATCTCTCTGAGTGCCAGCCAATCAAAGAATCAATTACAGCCTCAGCTGAGCACCCACGTGCTGTCAACCCACGTGTGCCTCTGAACATCTCACAACCACAGAGCTCCATGCTTTCAAAGCCCTCTAAGCCATCAGCCATCTGTCCTGCTCACAGACACTGTTTGGCCAGCATAGCTCTCTTCTGTGATGAGCAATGTATTCAGCCTTGGAGTTCTGTGTCAGATACTAAGTGGTGATCTCATTGTTATTTGAAAAAACAAGCACACATCAGTATGTATGTAGTGTATGGCTACAGAGACAATAGCACAGGTAAGAGGTTGGGTAGGGCAGGTGCTAGGGGGGGCTACTTTGGATGGGAAGCTCAGGAGAGCCTCTTTGTGGGTGCAAGGTTTATGAAGAGACCTATATGATTTGAGAAGAGTCCAGACATTCACAGATCTAGGCCTGGGGCTTCCAAAAAGAAGGAAAGGTCTTAAGGTAGGAGAGGATGCCTGCGTGTCTGGGGAAGGAGTAGAAGAGGAGGCTGGAGAGGAAATGGGTGGAGGCTGATCCTTCAGGGCCTTGTGGGTCATGGCATGGTCAGGATTTGGGATTTTGCTTCAAGTCCAACGGGGAGGCAGGAAACCACCCAGGGAAGGACTATGTCCTCTGCTTTAAGAGAGAGAGAGAGAGAGTGTGTGTGTGTGCATGTGTGTATAATATACACTTGCACATATGTGCATATTGAAAGAAAGGGGATGGAGGCTTAGGGTCAGGAGTGCCTCTTAGAGTCTCTTACTTTATACCTTACTGTATATCTATAAATGCACATACATGCATATATACACACAAGTTTTGCAGTTAGGTTCAAAGATCCTGTAGATCTAGAAGAATGTCTATGACATTGACAATGTGAGTCAGTACACCCTCCACTGTGTGCTACCAAATCTGCCCACCCTCTTCCACTGGGAGTCCCATAAATGAAGTGGTTTTACTACCCTGTTGTAGCCCAGTGACAGATGATCAGTGATGTCAAAAGCGTGATTCTGGAGAGGTTGGTCACTTTGTTGCAAAGCTGCTGTATCATTTCAGGTACATAGTCTGGGAGGTACAGAGTCTAGGGTCAGAGTAGAGTCTCAAGCCATTGTGCATGCCTGCCCAAGACAGAGTGGAGTTGGTCTACTCCTGAATATATTAACCATTTTTTCCCTTAGTCATTACATGTAAAGCTTCATGTCTGCATTTGTCAGTTATGATTTATCCGGATCACCTTTCTTACAGAAAGCGGTAGATGCCAACCAGAAGACTGGAATAGGCTTCCTTTTATCTCTTTTGCACAGTTGTGTCTTCGGTGAGATGACTTGACTCTCTGATGTTGAGAGTGTTTTTGTTAATTTTTGAAGCATGATCTCAGTTGGTTTAGGATATGAATGCCATACACACTCATTGTTTTCGTTTGGGGACTGCCGCTGTGCTGGGTGACTGCGTGTTTGTGCTGCTGGCCCTTGCTGACACTGATATTGGATTTACAAAGCCAACCTTGCAGTTTTGTGTGGGCAGGTAGGCTGCCTTTAATTTGTGGTTGCTTTGCCCTTCTGAAAACACGAACTTCTATCTGGTTGGAAGTCATTTTCTTTTTCATCAATCTCAACTACTGAACCTATTTCTTCAGGCACATCTCCAGACTGCCTTGGATATTTCGAGGATATGTTCTGCGTGTTCACATTTGAACTGCAGCTTGGTTTGCAGACACCCTCTCCTTAGATTGGCAGCTGTTTGTGGAATTCCTGAGTACCAATTACATCCAGTAGCAGGAAATAAAAGACAAACAAGGAACTAGTAGAGCTCAAGGTATTCTTTCATCCTTCCTCCTTCTTAGCTAATACATCTTACAGTTAGCTCTGAAAGGAGAATTTATTTAAACATACTAAACACTGTGCATAGTGACTCTTACATCTTTTCTGGTAATAGCATGCTAATGCTATACTTCAAAGTGCAGTGAATAAGCCCTGTAGAGAAATATCCTCATGGTATGGTTTCAAAGGACAGGCATCCTTCTGGAACATATTGTTATCTTAGGTTTTTGTTTTAAATGTCAGCACATGGAGACCTTATTCTAAGGCTGCGTCTGTGCTCCGCTAGTGAGTATGGAAGGCTTAGGTGATTCATGGTGGGAAGTTGAAGTAACTAGAGAAGACTTGGTGCTGTTTGGCTTTAGTGAAATTTTTAGAAGCTGTAGTTGAAAAACCAACACAGATTGGCCCTCTGTTTGTTGCTTTTGGCTGTCTAGGGACTGCAAAGTAAAAAATGACATTTTCTTGATGTCTTTCTGACAGTTTCTCACCTGTAGGTCAAGTCCTAATTGAAATATGACATAAATATTTGGCGTCATAAAAGCAGAATCTCCATAACACATTAGGTGATTTCTAGAGTAATGCTCACTTTTATTGTTTGGGTTCCATTGATGAGTTAGGCAGGGTTATATTTTAAGAATTTTCTTACATCAGGAAGAGTCAACAGAGGATGGATAACATATTTTGAACGTGGACATTGCTTGTAAGTTGCAGGACACTTGTAAACACTATTGAGTGTCACCTATAGCAGGAACCAGTTTTTCTTTATCCCTCGTTCTGTGACAGCTACCTGGGTTCTATGTTGGAGCCCCGTAGTATAGTTTCAAATGCAATAGCCACTGCATAATCCTTGTCACCCAAAGACTGCAGATCTTGACAGAACTTGTACAACAGTGGCCTTGCTGAGGAGTGATGTACATTTCTTTTGTCATTTGGCCACATAAGAAAACTGCAGCCATCACTGTATTTTGATGCATCAGACTCTGTGTCCTCTGAGTGTGATTCAGCTGTTGGATTTCTTGATTATGAAAGTATCTAGAGTACCTCATGTTCAGTGATGTGAACTGCTATGAAAGTTCCCTCCGTGTATTCTGCTGGATTTCTTAAGTTATATCTTCACAGAGAGGGCTTGCCTCTTATACAGTCTGCATCCAGCACCCATAAGTACTTTCCTTTGCTGCAGGAGCAGGAACTGAACCCAACTGTGGATGGAGTGGGAATGTGTGTTCTGATTCCTGCTTATTAGCGGTAGGATGTGATAAATATGTTCCAAAGCAATGCCTGGTAGAAGTGTTCCCCTACCTGCATGTGACAAGAAGCATTTTCCTCCCTTCATTTGGATAGAGGAAGGGCTTTGGATAAGGAAAAAAAATAAAGAAGATCTTGGACCTTAAGCTGGAGACAGGAAGGTCAAGTGCTTTATTTTTTCTGTGATGAGAACCAGCTCATTTGAGAACTGAAGGTGAATACTGACTGTCATATTTAATAAGTAGTGATGGAATTTGCATTTCTTCCTTGAGGTCAGTAGTCTGCTTTCATAGATAGAACAGGAGTTTAAATTCTGAGCAAAATATGCAATCTTTTCTCTTTCTTTGATTCTTATCCTGTCAATTATCTCGTCATTCTACAGAGGACTAAAAGGTAAAGAGTTCTAAGATCTTCGCATTGTCTGGGAAGAAGTGGAAATGTTAATATTAGTCTTTAATAAGTTATTAATGACACATATTATAATTGTTAGGATAACTCCTAAAAGGATAGTGAAGAGCATATAACTTCCATATTAATGGTTAAAGATGTGCCAAACAATAGCAACAAAGGAGGAGGAAAATTTGAACATTGGGATAAAAGCACTGCACACAGTGGTAGATGTAAACACAAATATTTCAGCAATTACATTACATATAAATGGACTAAATGATGCAATTAAAAGATAAAGACATGGATGAAAAAACTTTTCAGGAGGCATATTTAAAAGATAAGGAAATAAAAGTTTGAAAAAATAAAAGGATAGAAAAATATTATGCAAATACTAAAGGAAAGCAGCTGTAGGTTGGCTGGTATCAGTGTTGATCATATCATGGACATGGTTGATTATGGTATGAGTTTGTGCCTTATGTTGTAAGTATTCACAATCAGAGTTTCTTATAGTTAGAAAAAATTAGATGATCAAATTATAAATTACTAGAAAGATTTCATAATTGTTAAGGTGTAGGCTTTTTACTGCACCTGGAGAGGCCTTTCAGCCATGATGTGAATTATGTACCATTATGTAAGATAAGTGGAGCGTAAATGCTTTGTTCAAACAATTATAATGTAATTGGAAACTTCTTGTGTTAACAATATCATTATCTTAAAGGTGAAAGGGGTGGGAAGAATGTGGTAGAAATCAAGTTCCCTGGGGAATAGGCTTTACAGCCAAAAGTAAAGTCATTTTTTCCTGACCAGTGACTTAGCTTAAAACAGGTCAATGATATTCTTTAAATAAAGCAATATTTAATTGGATTCATTTGCAGCTGATATGGATTCTGGGGCTTGATAGCACTTACATATTAAGCTGGAAATCTAGAAATAAGAACTTTAGCAACAATTTTTTTTTTTTTTTTTAGGATTTGAGATTAGTTATTAATAACACAGGATGCAAGACTCTTAGGTTGTAGTTGTGGGTAAGCATAAATATATACTGAATAGATTCAGACATTGGCCAAGTAGACTCAGTTTTTTTCAGGAGATCATGTTCATTCAAAGGGATAATTTCTTCTTTCTGAAAAACTTCTATTTTGAAAATATTAAATGATAGAATTCCCCCTGAAATTTTTTATTGTGCTGTTTAAGGAATGGTATTTTACCCATTAGTGATAATCCATGAATGCATGCTATGAATGGATACTTAGGAAACATTTCCTGCATGTCCATGGAAAGATAATTATTTTTAATATTTGTATGGACTGTTAGGCTTTTTTCTGTGAGTAAGATGTTTTTAATGTAGAGGTGTACTTATAGAGTATACGATTTTTATTGTATTCTTTTAAATGGACTATTTAATATAATTGACATATTTCCCATGGAGTAAAAACACTATTTAGATGCTTGTGGTAACATAACTCCTCAAATCTTAGTGACTTAAGACAACAAAGGTTTATTACATGGATAATGTAGATCAACAGGAAACTGCTCATTGGAATTGAAGACTCCATGCTGACACTGATGGGAGGCTCCATCCATGCACAGGCACTCACAGTCACCAAAGCAGCATAGGAAAATATGGTAATCCTTGCACTGGCTGTTAAAGCCTTTCTAGAAGAGAAATAACACTTGCTTATATTTCATTGACCAAAGCAAGTCATGTGGCCATGCTAACTTCAAAGAAGGTGGGCAAGCGCAATCCTGTATGTCCAGGACTGGACTATTAGGGAACAGCCTAATTGACTACTCCAGATTGCTACTGACAACACTTTTTTAAATGATTGGGATAATACTCCAATAAATGCCTATGCCATAGTTTACAGAGTTAGCCCATTTTAATGTTTGCAGTGCCAATAGTTTATTAATAATGCTGAAATGGACATTTTGGTATAGTCACCATTCCTCCACACTGCTCCTTTTCTGGGGTACTTAAACTAATCCTAGATTAAGTCTCCTGTTGTATAGTTTAATGGACTGCTGTATGTCTACTTTGTAGCACTTATTTTCTACCAACACGCTATAAATTTCATATAGAGACCACACCTTTTTTTCAGTGCTGTGTCTGCTAACCGTTACATAATAGATATTAAATAAACATTAATGAAGGAATGAATTAATTGGGGAAGTGGGAAGGGTAAATTGGTAAAACTACTATTAAGGCTTTTTCTATATGTTTCCAAATTGCTTTCCAAAAGAATTATAGCAAATTCACATGTGAGTCAGCAGTGGTTTATCAGTTTACCACCCATTGCCACCACTGGTTATTTTCCTTTGCTAAATGGAAAGTCAAAATAAATAATATCTCAATATTTTTAGCACTGTAATTGGCATATCTTTGATTATCAATAAGACTGGGTATTTTTCATACATTTGGTTTTTGTTATTGTGATAAAAACATAACAAAAGTTACCATAGTAACCATTTTTTAAGTGTACAGTAAAATATAACTATGTGTACATTGTTGTGCCACAGATCTCTGGAAACCTCATTTTGCAAACCTGAAACTCTTTAACCATTGAACAGTAACTTGTCTTCACCCTCCTCCAACACTTGGCACCCACCATTCTACTTTTTATTTCTAAAATTTCGACTACTTAAGTATACCTCATATAACTAGACTTATGCAGTATTTGTTTTTTTGTGACTGGTTAATGTTACTTAGCATAATGTTCTCAAGGTTCATCTATATTGTAGCTTATTGCCAGATTTCCTTCTTTTTAAGGCTGAATAATATTTTATTGCATATATATATGTATATCAAATTTTAAAATCTGTTAATCCGTTGACATTTAGGTTACTTCTACGAACTTGGCTATTGTGAATAATGCTGTAATATACATGGTGTGCACTTATCTCTTCATGATTCTATTTTTGATTCTTTTGAATATACAGATGCTTGACTTACAGTTACGTCCTGATAAAACCCATCATCAGTTGAAACTATCATAAGGTGAAAATGCGTTCAATACAACTAACCAATTAAGCACAATAGCTTAGCCTAGCCTACCTTAAACATGCTAAGAACACTTACATTAGTCTATGGTTGGGCAAAATCTTCCAATACAAAGTCAATTTTATAGCAAAGTGTTAAAATTGTCATATAATTTATTAAATACTGTACCAATAGTAAAAAACAAAATGGTTGCATTGGTGGGTTTTTGATGTTGGTTATCATGACAAGGTCTCTCACTCTGCCACCCAGGCTGGAATGCAGTGGTGTGATCACAGCTTGCTGCAGCCTCAATCCCCTGGGCTCAGGTAATCCTCCTACCTCAACCTCCCGAGTAGCTGGGACTACAGGCATGAGCCACCATGTCTGGCTATTTTTTTTTATTATTTGTAGAGATGGGGTCTCACTATGTTGCCCCAGCTGGTCTGGAACTCCTGGGCTCAAGTGGTCCTCTTGCCTTAGCCTCTCAAAGTGCTGGGATTACAGGCATGAGTCAGTGTGCTCGGCTGATGCTTTGGTTATTTACCCTCATGATCATGTGGCTGACTGGAAATGGTGGCTCTTTGCCACTGCCCCGAATCATAAGCGAGTATGTTACTGTATATTGCTAGCCTGGGAAAAGATCAAAATTTAAAGCATGGTTTCTGCTGAATACATATCACATTCACACCATCGTAAAGTTGAAAATAGTAAGTCAAACTGTTGTATGTTGAGGACTGTCTGTATATCTAAGGGCAGGATTGCTGGATAATATGGCAATTCTACTTTTACTTTTTTTCAGAACTGCTGTCCTGTTTTCCACAGCAGCTGCATGGTTTTATATTCTCCCCAGCAGTGTACAAGGGTTCCAGTTTCTTCACCTCTTCACCAACACTTGGTATTTTCTGTTTTGTTTTTTGTTTTTGTTTGGTTTTGATAGTGGCCATCCTAACAGGCATGAAGTGATTATGGTTTTTGATTAGCGTTTTCTTGATGTTTAGTCATGTTGAATATATTTTCATGATGCTCGTTAGCCATTTATAGTATATCTTCTTTACATAGATGTCTCTATTCTTCAAGTCCTTTGCCCAATTTTAAGATTGGTTTATTTGTTTTGCTGTGTGAAGAGAGATAATTTTACTCCAATTTGGATGCCATTTATTTATTGCCTAATTGCTTGGGTTAGGACTTCTAGTACTATGTTGACGAGAAGTGGCAGGAGTGGGCCTCTGTCTTGTTTCTGAACTTAAAGGAAAAGCTTTCAGTTTTTCACCATTAAGTTTGATGTTAGCTGTGGGATTTTCATATATGGTCTCTGTTATCTTGAGGTAATTTCTTTCTATTAATGAAATTTTTTGTGTGTTTTTGTCATGAAAGGGTATTGAATTCTTTTCAGTGCTTTTTTTTTTTTGGCACCAATTCAGTCATGTGGTTTTTAGCCCCTTATTAATGTGGTATATCACATTGATTGATTTTTGTATGTTAAGCCATCCTATCATTCCAGGAATATATCCCACTTGGTCATGATGTATAATTACTTTAATGTGCTATTGAATTTGGTTTGCTAGTATTTTGTTACGAATGTTTGCATCAGTATTTATCAGGGATCCTTGTGGTTTTCTTGTAGTATCTTTGTCTGCTTTAGGTATCAGAGTAATGCTGGCCTCAAAAAAATGAGTTTGAAAATTTTCCATCTTTTTCAATTTTTTTGTAAGAGTTTGAGAAGAAGTGGTGCCAATTCTTCTTTAAATGTTTGATATAATTCTCCAGTGAAACCATCTGGTCCGGGGCTTTTCTATATTGGGAGGTTTTTGATTACTTACTTAGTTTCCTTTCCAGTTACCATATTCCCCTATTATCTGAGAGTTCACTTTCTGCAGTTTCAGGTACTGGCAGTCAACTGCAATCTGAAAATATTAAATGGAAAATTGCGGAAATAAACAATAAGCTTTAAATTGCATGTCATTCTGAGTAGCATGATAAAATCTCCCACTGTCCCATTTCATCCCACCCAGAACTTAAATCATCCCTTTGTCCAGCATTTCTACGTATACACTACTCCCCCATTACTGTATAGGAAAATACATGGCATATAGAGGGCTCAGTACTATTCAGGGTTTCAGGCATTCACTGGCGGCCTTGGAATGTATTCCCCATGTATAAGGGGGAACTGCTATATTGCTATGTTCAGATTGTTTATTACTTTATGATTCAGTCTTGGTAGATGGTATGTTTGTAGGAATTTATTCCTTTTAGATTATCCAATTTACTGGCATATGCTTATTCATAGCAATATATTATAATCCTTTTTATTTGGACATCAGGTATAATATCTCCTCTTTCATTTTGATTTTTGTTATTTGAATCCTCTATATTTAGTCTGAGGATTTATCAATTCTATTGGTCTTTAAAAAAACTCAATTTTTGTTGTTTTTTTCTATTATTTTTCTATTCTCTAATTTGTTTATTTTTACTCTAGTCTTTATTATTTCCCTCTTTCTCGCAACTTTGGGTTTAGTTTGTTTTTCTAGTTCCTTGAGGTGTAAAGTTAGGTTGTTAATTTCTTTCTTCCTTGTTAACGTAGGTATTTACTGCTATAAAATTCCTTCCTAGTATTGCTTTTGCTGCATCCTATATGTTTTGCAATGTGAATCTCAATTGATAGAGGTTTATTTAGCCAAAGTTTGAGGACATGCCCAAGAAAAACATGGGTCACAGTAGCATTTGTGCCCTGTGCTTTTCCAAAGAGCATTTTGGGAACTTCAGTATTTAAAGGGGAAATAGCAAAAATGAGGCTCTGATTAGTGCTCAGCACATCTACATTTTATTTATTTGTTTTAACTTCTTAAAATTTTACTTTTTAAATAAACATATGGTAAAATTGACGTTGTATGTGAGTACAGTTCTATGAATTTTGACACATGTATACATTTATGTAACCACTGCCATA